>NC_000001.11:244062909-244214424 GCF_000001405.40 Homo sapiens
TGGCCTGGTCCCTTTTGAAATAATGAACTAATTCTGTTATTCAAATGATAAAAATCCAGTGGCCAGCATGGCCCAATTGTTTTCCATTATTTGTAGACCTACAGTATATGTCTGATCATCCCCGCTTACAGACTGCCGCATCACGTGCTTTTCCACAGAGAGTGATTGATTGAAAGTCACAAAAACTTACAGCTGGAAGGGGCAACAGTGACTTCCGGTTCATTCATCCTGAAAGTGGAGGAGCAGGCATGGGGAGGTGAAGCGGCTCAAAGCTCTTTACAAACATTTCATACCTTCCCCAAACCTTTGGTACTATCATTTTATAGATGACTTTTTCTCTGCTTAGAGGCTCACAAAGGCTCAACTCCTTGCTCTGGGCACATCTTTGATCAAGTCTGAATCTGAAATCAACATTCTGGTTATGCCTAGGTGATAAAATTTGCATTATGCAAATATCTATTTACCATGATTACATGTACCATTGTCTGCGATCTATGTTTACCAATGGAATCTAAGATTGGAATGATACTATTTCTTTTCCTGACTTTGACCCTATCAACTATTTAAAAAATACATACAGCAGAACGTTCTCTGATGGTGTCAAAGAGGACATGTTTTGGCCCATCTCCTTCCAGCTCACCAAGAGCTAAAACCCTGTCAGGATCTTCCTGACCAACACACTCTCCCTCTCTGCTTCCAGCTACGAAAGGGTTGCTTGGGTTTCCAAAACATGTTATTTGTTCAACCACAACGAGGCACTGCTCCTTGCAGCTAGTCACTGCAGGGTTGTCAGAGCTGTTGCTGGACGTGCAGAAGGGAGAGATGAAACATGGACCGAGGGCGGCAGCCAAACGGGATCCTCAAAACTTGTTTGCTGCTGAAATGGGAGAATTGAATATTTTTCCACTTAATCTAAAAATTGGCCTTGGTTTCTTGGAATGTTTCTCACCTCCTCTCAGCATCATCTACTGGAAAGAAGGCTCAAGAGAAAGTTGGGGAAGATCTATCAATGAAACACCCGAGGAAACCCACCCTGATACCTTCATTTCTCCATTTGTAAGACCAGCATATTCATACCCGTGTCACCTTTTTCTTTAGAATAACATGAAAATGAATATGCAAAAGCATTAAGCTTTCAGAGGAAAGATGCTATGCAAATTTGAGGTGACCTCACTATTACAATAATAATTTTTTTTTGCACTAAGACGAAATTTTTCCTTATCCTAAAGCCTTCCTACCAAGGTAGACTTTTTTCAATGTGGGTTTTTGTGATTTAAATTCACCAAGCACTGATAGTTTCAAGTTTATTTCAGTATTAAGCAGGAAAGCAGTTTCTGCATGAAATGTGAAAACTAAAATACCATAGTAATGAAAAAGATTCCGCATCCTCAGGTGGGTTTTGCAGGTGTGTACGTGTTTAGCTATACACATCTCATATCACTTACATTGTACTTGTGATTCTTTTCTCAAATCCCAAATCTCTCAAAGCCCTTTCAAATTTCTATCTGATTAACTAGTCCAAAGGCTAAGTTGGATACAGATATTTTTTCTCTTCAGGCTGAAGAAATCAAGACTGAAAGCGTTGGTTCATGTTTACTCTTGTATCATAAGTATTTTTAAAAGTATGATTAATATATATAATAACAAACCAGCACAGCTCCCCTGGGAGGCACACATATTAAAATGATTTACCCGGAGATTTAAATGATTTACTCCACTCTCACCAGGAGAAGGTGGCCCATGCCAGAGCCCACCTCAGAGCATCTCAATCTCAGGCCTTGCCTCATCTATGTGCTCTTTTATGTGCAGGTGCAGCCCACGTTGTGGTGTAATGCAAATCTATGGCTATACTGTATCACAGCGAATAAATCCATTTGGAGAAAAAGGCACCTGGTGAAAGGCCACAGTGCAATGGAATGCAATGCTGCTATGTGCAATGCTGCTTACAAGAAAACTTTGGGTAAATATTGCACGGGTCAAACTTACGATCCAACTTTTTCACGTAACAGGGCCGCGTATTGGATGCCTTCAGAATTCCCATTCAGCGTGTCCACTTTGCTCTTTGATGCAATGCCACCTCACAAAAGCATTCAAGCCACAGTCATCTATTTTTTTCCTTCTTTCTCCCCTTGCTATAATGACCCAAATCTCCGTTTTTACTTTGTAATTTTTGTAAGTTTTTTAAGGCAATGACTATAATAATTCATGTTTAGTGAAATAATTCTTTTGGTTGATATATTTCACAGTTTGGTCTCTAAAAAAAGTTAAAAAACAACAACAAGAACCAAAAACAAACAACCCCCCGCCCCAAGCTTCCCTCTGCTTGATGCCATAGACAAGAGTCCAAAGGACATTAGCTGCTCCATTGCACACATTGGAAGGGAGAGTTTGCTGTGAGCTCAGTCCTTCTAATAGACTGGCAATTTTGTAAAAGATTTAGAGAATTTTGTTTAACCATTTCTGCATGTGTTTTTAATGAGCTCATGATGGTTTCTAACAAAGGCCAGGTTGTGTGTTTTCCAGCACTTTCTGACCTGATTCCTCCCTGCTGACTTGGGGAGTGGGCACCTGTGCTTCTCTCCTGGCTCACCTATGGGAGTCGGGGTGGTGGGGCCATCTCCGGGCCTGTCTTCACGCCAGGGATGAATCATGTAGTAGGCAGAGTGGAAGGAGTCTCTTTGTTGACAGCTTTCCATCTGGACTTTGGATACGGCTGATCGTTCATGTAGAGCCGTGGTTAGCTGGAAGGGGCTACGCGAGTCAGCTCCTCCTTAAGGGATCAAGGGTGTGTAAAACATCAGGAAAGAACTGCCTGGGATTTCATTTGCAAAGCTTAGAGAAGCATTTTATCCTCTGAGTTTCAGGTAGCCAGGGTTGTGAATGTGTATGACTGCAGCTTTGACAGGTCGGTCTTTAATAGTCAATAGGATCATTTATAGCCTCGTTCAGATAATCCAACTGGAGTACACCTGAATAAATACATCAAGTTCAGGTGGCTAAAAGCTAACCCCTTTTGAGTTTAATAATTAAAATAAACAGAGCTATGAAGATGAATTTCAGTTTGTCATGCATAAATGTAAGAAGCTCCATAAAGGATGGTGTTCTGTGATTCATATAGGAGTATGATGGATGTATGATACGTTTTCCACAGCTATTTAAGAAAAAACGATTATCTTAGTCATGGGGTAAAGTTATGTGAAGCATTGCACCATCCAGGCTGTGTCTGGGCCAGTACAGATTTTTTTTCTTTTTCTTTTTCTTTCTTTCTTTTTTTTTTTTTTGTGAAAGATTACTTCTTGGCAAACTAGATATGCAAACGCCAGAATACAGTAAAACCACATTTAATTGGACCTACTTGCCAACTTCTTGAACACAGCTTGGATTATTCCACTGGAGGCTGCTTCTGTTAAAAGCTGGGGGAGGAGGAAGTGGCATATTGACAAGACTTCAGATAATTTTTTTTTCACTCGAAGTACAATTATGCAATGAGCCAAGTTTGGAAGTATTTTACTATGTTTAATAATTATTATTAAAGATATTGTAAAACATATGCATTTGTTAAGTGGAATGTAATGGGAGTAAAATCATGTCATCAATTTTCCTTTGGATTTATTTTCCCATTTTGTGTTTTATTTGACAGCCTTCCAAATTGATTCTAGCCAAAACCATGCACTCTAATATATATCATACTTGATATTAAAGTGAGAATGCGAGTAATTTATAGAATCTGAGTGAGAACAGTTTTCTTCTCTTAGCCAGCCTATATGGAGCTGCCACCTCTGCTCAGGTAGCAACCGACACATGCCTTGTACACAGAAAGGAAAATAATAGGGGTCGAGAAATCCTCCACACATCCTTCCTGATAGACACTCCAAAACCCACATATCCCAGGCATTGTTCAGTGGGAGATCAGGGGCAAGGAGAAGGATAACTATTTCTTTATGTGTGTGTGAATCTAGAGGAACCAGACTTGTCTCTGGAAATGCAAGTGGGAAGTGGGATTCACTGAGAAGCCATCATTCTGCTCAGGTGAGTCCTGACTTCAGGCGAGGGATCCTAAAGGTGACACCGCGATCCTTCACCTGGAAAGCCAAGGAGACATGACATCAGTGTGTTTCACATCCTAAGCTTAAACAAATGTATATTGTTTTTACCGCCTCTTTCTCAAGGGGGAACACTGCCCCTGAAACTGCACTCCTTGAAACCGAGCAAAGGTGCCATCGCTAATGATTAGCAAGACGCTCCGGATGGTTTGCATCGAACTCCACCTGCTATGTGAAAACCCCATGCTTTTCTCACTTTCCCATTCAAGCTGCTTAGCAGTTGGGTCCTCTCCTCTGAGTGTGGTTATGTGTCAGTTTGACTTCTGTGTGCCCTGCGATTTCGTTGTTTTCTTCTGCCCTGCCACAGCAAATGACCAGTGGAGGCAACCAGCGGACGGAGGAAAAGGGCAGGTCCCTGCATCCATCTCAGCGCCCTGCAGCCGGCGGCCTGTCCTTTCAGGCGGGAGTTCCCAGCGGCGTTCCTAGGTGTTTTGAATGTGTGCCCCGGGGCTGGGGGAAGCCTCGTGCAGTTCTGCTGCTGTGGGAGGCAGGGGGGACTGGAGGGGACGGGAGCAGTGTGAGGCTTTCATGTGCAGAGGGGACATGAGGACATCTGGATGGCATCCCTGTGAGCAGGGCTCCCGCTGCAGGCCTTTGAAAACCCCGCTGCCCTGGCTCCCCAGTGCCTTGGAACTTTCTCCCTGGAGAATGCAGAAAAGCCAGTGCCCTTGATTTCTTAGACATCTACAGCTTCGACACGTGCAGGGTTATCCAGGAGCAGTGAGGTTTGGGGTGAGGGCCTGAGCACTTTCTGAAAAGTGCTTGTTTCTAAGAACCTGGAACTATGAGTGAGGAGTGACATGAGTTCTGCCCTCAAGTCCTCTGATAACCAGCTGTGCAGTCTTGAACAAGTGACTTCATCTCTTCATCTTTAAAATAAACCTTTTGGGCCAAATGACTCGAATGTTTTTCCAACTTCATTTTTTTTTTTTTTACTGTTTAACAGAAATGCTGATTGAACTTGGGCTGGGAACAAAGAAATCTTTTCTAATTAGAGTAGAAATGATGACTAATATACTGCTCAAGCTTCTGAGGCTCATTGGGATCAAAGACACACTCACTCTGATAAGGGAGGGCACTGACCGGGCTGCTGACTGTTTCCACCAGCCTTCGGGTTTTAATATCTAACTACAGTTATGCCCATGCATGCTGGCCATGTGCTAGACACACGCTTCCTTGTCTTTGCTCAAGTCTAGTGGCTTTTGGGTTATTTGTATTTTTTAACAGGAGAAACCTGAGAGATCCTAAGTAGATATCAGGCAAGAGCTTGTCTAGTTCCATGTTTTGTTTTGTATGTTTTGTTTTGAGATAGGGTCTTGCTCTGTCACCTAGGTTGGAGCTCAGTGGTGCAATTGTGGCCCACTGTAGCCTCGAACTCCCGGCCCAAGTCATCCTCCCATCTCAGCCTCCTGAGTAGCTGGGACAACAGGCGTGCGCTTCCTGGCTAATTTTTTTTTTTTTTTTTTTTTTGTAGAAACAGGGTTTTGCCATGTTGCCCAGGCTGGTCTCAAATTCCTGGGCTCAAGCGATTTGCCCTCCTTGTTCTCCAAATGTGCTAGGATTACAGGCATGAGCCACCGAACCCAGTCCACTTCCATGGATTTTAAAAATGTTAAACACCTACCTTTAAGAAAGATGATGAGGCAATATCACCTTTGTTTTTGTTGCCGTCTATCAGAGAGAATGACTCCTAAGGAGTCATTCCTATGAGTCTTGCAGAGTGATTTTCTGTTTGTTCAGCTCCTTCACAGAGTCTTGGTTGGACAGCTCCCCGTCACCTTCCCCGACAGGGCCTTGCCTTTGAAAAGGCTAATTCTGGTAGACAGGCAGCTTCAACAGGAAGTGGCACACCAAGGACCATCGCTTTTGGATGTGGTTCATGGGATGTGGAGTGTCCAAGGAGATGCTGATAGGCCTAAAGATCAGAGATCATTTGACTTCGGTAGATTGTCAAAAGAGAACACAACACAATTGCAAATGGACTTTAAAATGAGAGAAAATCAAATTTCTAGTGACAATCATAAAAATGCCACAATCCACCATGGACAGCCACACCACCAACCTAGTCATTTTTTATATTTCTAGCTTGTACTTAATCCATTCCAGCATGGAGCAAAACGCTATCAGTGTTCTGTGAAGAAACAGTCCAAGAGAATGATTGCAGTCTAATTTGCATAAGAGTCTAACTCAAATATTTTCACTTTTTTTTTCATTTTGAAGTCACAAAGTAAAATGGTTGAGGAATTTAAGATTAGCATGTAAGCGAGACTGAAATAGGACTATGTTCTCATATTAGTTAAAACTCTTTGGTTGCAAGGAAGAGAAATCCAACTTAAGTGAGTTTAAGCCAAAAAAGAATTTTATTATAAGGCTACTTGGATTCAATGGAATCCAAAAGAGGAATATGGCTAGGCCTTGCAAGCAGCTAGAACTAGAAGCTCAAATGCCGTCTGGATTTGCTCTCCTCTCCTTGCCTCTGATTCTCTTTCTGCTGATTGGCATTTTCTATTCCTCAGTCCACATGGTGGAACAGGGCTGCCAACTGCTTCTGCATTTACATGCCTTCATTTTCAGACACCCAGAGAGAGACTGACTTCTTTTGTCAGTTGCAGTTCCCAAATCCTGGGGGGAGGGCTATGATTGGCCCGTTTGGATCAGGTGCCCACCTCTTGACCAATGGTCGGTGCCAAGGGTGAGGCCCGTTGTAGCAAAAGTTAGTCTCCCATGGTGCCATATTGAAGGCACCGCATATGCATGCACAGGGGGCATGGGAGCAGGGCAGACAGTTTCCCAGAATGCGGCTGGTGCTGAGCTGACGAAGCAATGGGGGCTCTTTACATATCTCAACGAAAATTAAAGGGAAATGAGGAGAAAATATTATTTCTTTGGAAGTGAGAATAGTATATTCTCCCTTTTGGTGTCTCCAGAGTTCATTTCTAACCCATGGCCAAATGGTTAAGTGAAATAATGTTGTTTTTTTTTTTAAAAAAAGTACAGTAAAATATCAATTACTTTTCACTTAACTTGGCTTATCTAATCTTCTTCCCTTATGACCTTACAGTCTTGGAGCATGTTCACATACATTTTTCTGAAACCCTTACTTGATCCATGCTGCGGAGGCCATGTGACTCAATTGCTGAGCCGACCCTTCAGCTATTTAATACTGATCCAGATGCCCTGTGGGTGGGACAGAGGGTGATCAGACAACAGCACCCATGAACAAAGAAGATGTCTCCCCTTTCCCCGTGTTCGGGACGGAGGAAGGAGACTCGTGTCACTGAAGAGCTCTGTATTCACAGCAGGTGTGGAATGTGTGTTCTCCACGTAGAAACACCGGAATCTAGGAGGCGAGGGCATGGAGGCGTCGAGAGCATCAGTGCAGGTTAATGGGAACCAGGCCCTCTGAGACTGAGCACCCGGGAGCATCAGCCAGGGTACTGGCTACTGACAAAGTCACACTCCCCTTCTCCCGTGCTTTCAGTGCCACTGTCTGAAAATGAAGTTGTCCCTTAGAAGGTCCCTCTTTCCAGCCCCTGGGAGACCTGGCTTTCCTGAGCCAAGAGCAGAGAACCACTATTTCATTTTTTATTTATTTAAATTTTTTTTAACTTTTGTTTTGTATTTTTAGAGATGGACTCTTATTCTGTCACCCAGGCTGGAGTGCAGTGGTGTGATCATAGTTCACTGTAACCTTGAACTCCTGGGCTCAAGTGATCCTCCTCCCTCAGCCTCCCGAGTAGATGGGATTACAAGTGCATGCCACCATGCCCAGCCCCACACAGTTTTTTGTTTTTGTTTTTGTTTTTGTTTTTTCTTGAGATGGAGTTTTTGCTCTTGTTGCCCAGGCTGGAGTGCAATGGTGCAATCTTGGCTCACCACAACCTCCGCCTCCTGGGTTCAAGTGATTCTCCTGCCTCAGCCTCCTGAGTAGCTGGGATTACAGGCATGCGCCTCCACGCCCGGCTAATTTTGTATTTTTAATAGAGACGGGGTTTCTCCACGGGGTTTCTCCATGTTGGTCAGGCTGGTCTCCCTGCCTGGGATTCTCCTGTTTCAGCCTCCTGAGTGGCTGGGATTACAGGTGCGTGCCATCACGCCCGGCTAATTTTTGTATTTTTAGTAGAGATGGGGTTTCACCATGTTGGTCAGGCTGGTCTTGAACTCCTGACCTCATGATCTACCCGCCTCGACCTCCCAAAGTGCTGGGATTGCAGACGTGAGCCACTGTGCCTGGCCTGCACTCCAATTCTTGTGATTTGTATTTGGGGGGCTTTCGGGCCTGACATTGGGCTCCCAACCTCAGGTGATCTGCCAGCCTCGGCCTCCCAAAGTGCTAGGATTACAGGCATGAGCCACGGCACCCAGCCCATAGTTTGTTTTAAATGGCAGACACAGGCTGGGCTCTGTGGCTCATGCCTGTAATCTCAGCACTTTGGGAGGCTGAGGCAGGAGGATCACTTGAGCCCAGGAGCTCAATATCAACCTGGGTGACATAGTGAAACCTCATCTTTACAAAAAAAGCCAAAAAACAAAAAACAAAAATTAGACAGGTGTGGTGGTGTGCACCTGTAGCCCCAGCTACTCAGCGGGCTGAGGTGGGAGGATCGCTTGAGTCTGGGATGTTGGGGCTGCAGTGAGCTGAGATGGAGCCACTGCACTCCAGCCTGGCGACAGAGCAAGACCCTGTCTCCAAAAATAAAATAAATAAATAAATAAATAAATAAATGCTAAACACAGATTGTCTGGACGTGTGGCTCATCACTTTTTAGGTACTCATGGTCCCATCACTAAAGATGCAACATAATCAGAATCAGACTTGTAAGAGATTGAACGAAGCTCCTGATTAGAATTAAGTCCTCAAGGTCAATGTGGAGACACATTGATTCAGTGTGTCACGGACTCTGGAGGAAACAAAGGGGGACATTTCAGGCACCATGGGTTTTGTTGTTGCTGTTCGTACTCCAATTCTTTTTTTTTTTTTTTGACGGAGTCTTGCTTTGTCACCCAGGCTGGAGTGCCATGGTGCGATCTCGGCTCACTGCAATGTCCACCTCCCAGTTTCAAGGGATTCTCCTGTTTCAGCCTCCTGAGTGGCTGGGATTACAGGTGCGTGCCACCACGCCCGGCTAATTTTTGTATTTTTAGTAGAGATGGGGTTTCACCATGTTGGTCAGGCTGGTCTTGAACTCCTGACCTCATGATCTACCCGCCTCGACCTCCCAAAGTGCTGGGATTGCAGATGTGAGCCACTGTGCCTGGCCTGCACTCCAATTCTTGTGATTTGTATTTGGAGGGCTTTCGGGCCTGACATTGGGCTGCTGCCTCTCTTCAGGCCTTTGTTGATCTTCCTGCCTGCCTGCTGCGTGGATGGGGTGCAGATCCAGGCTTGCCCACTTCACGATGGTGAGAGCTTGGGCACATGACAGGGTCCCTTGAACCCCAGTTCCTCACTAACATAGGGATTTCAGCAACTCTCTCTTAGAAAGGCCATGGGGACGTGTGAGTTGGTACCTTTCAAGCAGTGGAAGCATCGTCTCTGCTAGGATCCTTTCAGTCACTGTTTTCAGTGACCGAAAACAGACACAGACTAGTGTGAAGAAAGAATAGACTTTATTAACTCACACGGCTAGGAAGCCCAGGAGCAGCGCTGGCCTTGGGGGTGACTGGGCACAGGGCTGAAGATGACACTAAGTTCTTTCATTCTCTGTTTGCCCTCCTCACCCCATTTTCATGGGTTCGCTCCTGTATTTCCAGCTGAAAATGGGCTTTCCTCACATAATGGGGGAAGCTTGCCAGAGGTGGAAATGGAACTAAGGTAGAGGGAAAATGTTGACGAAGTGGCTACTGCACACTTGGGCCTGGGGATACAGCAGTTCCTGCCGTCATGGAACTTACTTACCAGCCAATGAAACAATGAAACCAAAAATGACCATAAAGTATCATGAGTGTTATAAAAGTGAAGTGCACCGAAAGAGGGGTCGCGCTGTAAGTGGAGTCCAACCTGGCTGATGTGCCAGAGAAGATTCTTCAGAAAGTGGCAGGGGAAGAGGAGTCAGCCTGTAAATAAGCGGGTGGAACAGTGTTTTGGGCAGAGAGTTAGCATGTGCGAAGGACCAGACAGAGAACTGGGCAAATCTGAGGAAACTGTCAGATCTTTCTCAGTCCAGTGGGTCTGGCTAGAGCACGATGGGAAAGGTGTATCAGTTTCCCAGGGCTGCCAAACAAATCACCAGCAACTGGGTGCCTTCTAACAACAGTCCTTTATTCTCTCATTGTTCTGGAAGCAAGAAGCCCAAAATTAAGGGGTTGCCAGAGCCATGCTCCCGCCAGAAGCTCCATGCGGGAATCCTCCCTTGTCCCTGAAGTTCCAGTGGCCGGTGGCTCCAGGCGTTCCTGGTGGCTGCACCACTCCAATCTCTGCTTCTATCTTCACGTGGTCTTCTACTCTCTGTGTCTTCTCTTCTGCCTCTTTTTTTTTTTTTTTTTTTTTGTGATGGAGTCTCACTCAATCACCCAGGCTGGAGTGCAGTGACACGATCTCGGCTCACTGTAGCCTCTGCCTCCTGGGTTCAAGCAATTCTCCTGCCTCAGCCTCCCGAGTAGCTGGAATTACAGGCACCCACCATCATACCCGGCTCATTTTTGTATTTTTAGTAGAGACGGGGTTTCACCATGTTGGCCAGTCTGGTTTCGAACTCCCGACCTCAAGTGATCCTCCCGCCTCGGCCTCCCAGAGTGCTAGGATTTCAGGTGAGAGCCACCGCACCAGGTCTCTCTCTGCCTCTTAAAGGACACTTGTCATTGGATTTAGGGCTCACCTGGGTAATCTAGGATGATCTCCTCATCACAAGATCTTTAACTTAATGGCATCTGCAAAGACCCTTTTTCCAAATGAGGTCACATTCAGAGGGTCCGGTTGTTAGGTGTGGACATATCTTTTTGGGGATCACCATCCAATTGAGAGAGATGCTACTGGGCTGGTCAGCCAGGCCAGGACCTAGGGGATCTGGGCCTCATCCTAGAGCAGGAGAAAAACATTCCATTTTGCACTCCAGAAAGAACACTGTGGTTGTGGATGTGCCATGTGAGATGCAAGCAGGGTGGCTGGCCTGTCAGGAGAGGACCGCTGTGGTCCACGTGACAGGTGATGGAGGAATGGGCTGAGGCAGCAGCCCAGCCAGGGATGGAAAGAAGGGTTTGGGTCCCAGTCAAACTTAGAAAAAACAAGTCAACGGGACTTGGGGACTGATGGGGCTGGGTGGCTGGCGGCAGGGTGGAGGCAGGGTATCATTGGATGATGTGTATCAATGTGATACGTATCCCTCACATTAATTTTTCCCAGGAGACAGTGCTAGGAGGATGGAAAGAATATTGGCTTTGAAATTGGCGAAACCTTGGTTGAATTCCCAACGCTATTCCACTTTCCAGCTTCTTGACCTTGGTTGTGTTTCTTACTATTTCTGAGCCTCAGTTTTCTCCGACATAAAATGGAGATAATAATACTGAAATCACAGGGCTCTTGAAGGAATTAAATGACAGCCTATGTGGCGTAGTGGGCTCTGGGTGGCCACCTGGGCACCACAGATGTGATGTGCTCTTTCCTCCTCCTTCCTCCTGCCTGACCAACGTCCCTTCCTGCAGGGGCTTCCCCGGGCGCTCAGCTGCACCCACCTCCTACTTCTCTCCCACTTGCTTCCTGCACGGCTGGCTCCACCCCACCTGCAGCCTTTTTTTTCTCCTGGGACCTGCCCACGCATTGCCCTCTCCACTGTCCTGGAAACTTCAACAGATATTTTCTCACCTGTTACCCCTAAGTAGCCCAGGCTGCAAAACGGGTAGTCTTAGCGCCTTGAAAGGGAACCTGAAGGGCTTGCTGAGTTTACTGCCGGCTGCGATGTGTTCGTTCACTGGTTTATTCCTGCATCTATGCATCCACTCCCTCAACAAACACTTCGAGTGGGCGAGGCATTGTCTCGCACCGCGAACACTGAGCTGAACGGAAATGTGGTTCTCACCTCATGAAGTTTACTAATTCTACCAGGCAACCCGCCCTCTCTGAGCTCATGAATTTTCTGGTTGCACTGATTTAATGGCTTCACTCTCTGGCTTTGACACCCCCACAGGTAAAGTGAGGGAGAGCGGGAGGAGCATGAATTTGATTGTCCAGTCTCATCCGGGCTAGGTGGACATTAGGACACACAGGCAGGTTCCCAGGAGGTGGAACAGAAGCTGGAGCTTCCCTGAGAAAGCAGACACCCCCGTCCTACCTCTCAGACACATTTCCGTCTTCACTGGTGATGTTTTTCTCCACCCCGTTTCTTGCCACTTGCCATTCATAATCACTGCTCTTGGTCTGGTAAGCAGAGAGGGCAGGACAAAAATTTGATTTACTTACGACAATGTTTTACAAGCTTGAGCATAAAAACATGTGGTTTCCTGGGACTGGCCATCCCAGGAATTTGGCTGGGACATTAAGGAGTTGGCTGGCACTAACTGTAAGTGCCTACCACTTCCTACCCTCCTGGGGGAGGCTTGCCTTGCTCTTCTGAGCACTTTCTAACTTCAGGCTGTCTGGAGCCTCAAGGTTCTCCAACGTATGCAAATGCATGTGTTCTGACACAAGATGCAAATGTCAGGAATCCTCTTTTAAAAGGGCCAGTCTCTAAGACTTGCAAAAACGGCGACCGGAGACTGACTTAAACCTACCACCCGGAAGAGATGTTGGCTGTGAGGAAGGGAGAAACAATGAAGTGTGAGATGGTGTGAACTCTGGAAGGCAGAACCTTAGGGAAAAACGAAAGAGTAATTTCGTTCGTTGATGAATTCATTTATTCTACTAAGTATTGTGCAGAGCACTATAGGGTTTACCAAGAATAAAAATTGTCTCTATCATGGAGGACCTAAAAGAGATCAGAGAGAAAAGTTTTATTCTCGGTTTACCAAGAATGACAATTGTCCCTATCCTGGAGGACCTAAAAGAGACCAGAACCTTAGGGAAAAACGAAAGAGTAATTTCGTTCATTGATGAATTCACTTATTCTACTAAGTGTTGTGCAAAGCACTATAGGGTTTACCAAGAATAAAAATATTGTCCCTGTCCTGGAGGACCTAAAAGAGACCACAGAGAAAAAGGCAAGTACACATGAACATGTGTTTTGCTTTGAGGATCGTGCAAAAAAGCTGATATGAGGCGAGCACCTCATGTTTAACGTACTCTGCTTCACTCGACATAAATTCCTGCTAGCTTCCCTAACAAAGTTTCAAGGTAGGCACTAACACCATTTTACAGATAAGGAAACTGAAGTTGAGAGAGTAATTTTTCCAGGAACCAGGGTTCCAACCTAGATCAGCTGACTCTGAAGCTTATTAAATCCACCTGTGGAAAATCAAGTTAAGAAACAGATTAAAGGGGCCAGGTGCAGCACTTTAGGAGGCTGAGGTGGGCGGATCACCTGAGGTCAGGAGTTCGAGATCAGCTTGGGTAACATGGTGAAACCCTGTCTCTATTGAAAATATAAAATTCGCTGGGCGTGGTGGCATGCTCCCGTAATGCCAGCTACTGGGGAGGCTGAGGCAGGAGAATAGCTGGAACCCAGGAGGTGGAGGTTGCAGTGAGCTGAGATCGGGCCACTGCACTCCAGCCTGGGCGACAGAGTGAGACTTCCATAACTTTTATGATATAGTTTTCAATCAGCTGATTTACCTCTACGATTTCAGGAACACCCTGGCATGTTGCACGAGGCTTTGCCTGCTGGGGTGTCTGTTGTTCAGTCTAGACCAGCATGCAGCCACGGCTTCTTTTGGCCTCCGTGGCCAATTCCAAAAGTTCATGTGAGAAGGGGTGAAGAGGGATTTTAGAGC
Organism: Homo sapiens; assembly: GCF_000001405.40. Classification (NCBI taxonomy): domain Eukaryota; kingdom Metazoa; phylum Chordata; class Mammalia; order Primates; family Hominidae; genus Homo; species Homo sapiens. The sequence continues at coordinate 244,076,874 of NC_000001.11, forward strand.
CAGAAGGGAATTGAGCTTTCCTCAGCCTTATAAAAGCATGGAAATTGAGACCCAGAGAGGTTAAGTGCCTGGCCTAAGGTCACACAGCTTGTTAATGGTGGGGAGACGAGACTTGGTTTTGCCCAACTCTCCTTCTGCCATCTGTCGCTACTCAGCACAGTAAAGGAGATGGCGCAAGTCATCTGTGGCTCGCAGAAGTGCTAGGAATAATCCCATTCACGCATTTGATGGTACCTACTGGAGCCCCATTATTTCCAATTATTTACATGCTCCGGGCACCTGCAGCCAACCTGTACGTGCCCTTTCCCAGGGGTCAGACTTCCCTGGTGCCATGTGGACTCAATGCAGCATGCAGCCTCAGCCCTATTTTGTCTCTTCTATGCATTAAGGGATCCGTTTACATTTAATTGAAGCTTGGCATACTCTGAGCTGAGGTGGACTTGCTTTGGCCTTCTGAAAAAAGCATGCAGTTTTGGCCTATGAGTTTGAGTTTCATAGAGTAGCTTCCAATACCGGAGGGAAGCTGGCCTGTTACTCTCTGGAGTCTTTCTGAATCGCACAAAATCTCTGTGTATGCCTTCTTTGTTGTTCCTTTCCCAGAAGCGTGAAGTCCCTCAGATTCCACGGCGGTGGGGCTGGGAGAGCCCAGGTCCGGTGCGGGCCAGAGATCCCTGCGCGTCGGCACGTGAGCAGCCCCTCTGCGGTCTCCCGTCCTCACGGAGAGGCTATTACAGCAGAAGCTCCCTCGGCCCCCTCCCCACCCCCTCGTAGTTGAGGAGGAAGTGAGAAAGGGCTTGGCTTGGTGCCTGGCACACAGCAACCCTCCGTAAAAATGCCAGCTATTACTATTGCTATTGTTGCTATTATTCTCACGACTTCTCCATCTTCTGCACCACCCACAGGCTGCTTTGCTGTGAACACGGGGATGTGGAGAAGAGTGAATGAGCTAGTGGGATGGGAGCGACTGAGTGTGAAGGTTAGGGAGGGAAATAAAACAGCCCACAGCCCTGCTGCACTCAGCACCTTCTCCCTGCCTGCAAAGTCCTTCCTGGCATCTCTGGAAATCCTGACTGCCCCACGAGTCTCCCACCTCCTCCCCTGTTTCTGCACCGCCACTGGGATTGGTACTTGCAACTTGAATGGCTCTTCTCGTGTGCTGCCTTCTCCAGGGCCCACTCATGCCTGTGGCTGTTGCGACCCTACTATGTGTCATGCATTTGACATTGAACATCTTATTTATTCATTTAGTTATTTATGGCAGGGTCTCACACTGTCTCCCAGGCTGGAGTACAGTGGCATGAACACAACTCACTGCAGCCTTGACCTCCTGGCCTCAAGCAATCCTCCCACCTTAGCCTCGCAACTAGCTGGGACTACAGGCACTCACCACCGTGGTCAGCTAATTAAAAAAAATGTATTTTGTAGAGATGGGGACTCTTGCTATGTTGCCCTGGCTGGCCTCGAACTCCTGGGCTCAAGCGATTCTCCTGCCTCAGCCTCCCAAATTGCTGGGATTCATCTCTTTTAAATTCTCACATCAACCTTAGGAAGGAGATGTTTCCCATTAACCATGACAGATAAAGACACAGGGCTCAGGGCAGTTAAGTGACTTGTCCGAGGTCACCATAGAGTGACAGGGCAGAGAGGCAGGCTTGGGTCTGTCCAGCTCCAAAGCCCATGCTCTGTCCATGCATCTCAACACTCGCTATTGCTGCAGCTGTTGTTGGCTAGCCCTAAGGTGAGCCACGGTCACAGACCTTCAACCCACAGCACAGTTGGGGGATATGGGTGATTTTCTTTTCTTTTCTTTTCTTTTTTTTTTTTGTTTGTTTTTTCGAGACAGAGTCTCACTCCATCACCCAGGCTGGAGTGCGGTGGCGAGATCTCAGCTCACTGCAACCTCTGCCTCCCAGGTTCAGGAGATTCTTCTGCCTCAGCTCCCTCCAGTAGCTGGGATTACAGGTGCGCGACACACATCCGGCTAATTGTTGTATTTTGTAGAGATGGGGTTTCACCATGTTGGCCAGGCTGGTCCCAGACTCCTGGCCTCAAGTGATCCACCTGCCTCAGCCTCCCAAAGTGCTGGGATTACAGGTGTGAGCCACCATGCCCGGGCTCGACTTTCTTATTTATGCATTTCTGTGTTGACCATATCTTTTTCAATGAGCTTGCATTACTTGTGTGCTGTAATAGGAAATAATATTAATAATCTCTGACAGCACCCTGGACAAGTGTCAGCTCACTGATTCCTCATATAACCCTGGGTGAGGATCTTGTGATTATCATCCTTGTTTTCTAGAGGAGAAAAGCAAGTTGTAGAAATGTTAGATAATTCACCTGCTGTCATCCAGTCCATAGTGGCAGAGCTGGGGCTTAGACCCTGGTGGGCCTGATTCCCAAGATCTACTGTTGACTGTGGAGCTTACTGCTTCCAAGTGGAAGAGAAGGGTTTTGTCTTAAGAATACAGGAAGCATTTTGTTTATATGAAATATCCATAATCAGCAAATCCACAGATACAGAAAGCAGATTTGCTGTTTCCAGGGTGTGGGGTGGACGGTGGGAGATGCAGAGTGACTGTTAATGGGTACAGTGTTTCCTTTTTTCTTTTATTTTTTTGAGACAGAGTCTCGCACTGTCACCCAGGCTGGAGTGCAGTGGCACGATCTTGGCTCACTGCAACCTCTGCCTCCCGGGTTCAAGCGATTCTCCTGCCTCAGCCTCCTGAGTAGCTGGGACTACAGGCATGCGCCACCACCCCCAGCTAATTTGTGTATTTTTAGTAGATATGGGGTTTCACCATGTTGGCTAGGCTGGTCTCCATCTCTTGACCTCGTGATCTGCCCACCTGTTACTAAGCTGTTACTGAGTATTTCTGGAGGCAGGTATATTTTGAAAGCTCTTTTATTTTATTTTCTTTTTTTTTTTTTGAGATGGGATCTTGCTATGTAGCCAGGCTGGAGTGCAGTGGTGTGATCTTGGCTCACCTCAACCTCCACCCCCGAGGTTCAAGCGATTCTTCTGCCTCAGCCTCCTGAGTAGCTGGGATTACAGGCATGTGCAACTACGCCTGGCTAATTTTTGTATTTTAGTAGGACGGGGTTTCACCATGTTGGCCAGGCTGGTCTCGAACTCCTGACCTCAAGTGATCCACCCGCCTTGGCCTCCCAAAGTGCTGGGATTACAGGTGTGAGCCCCCGCGCCTGGCAGGAAGCTCTTTTCAAGAGAGAAAAAAAATCTCATGAATGCAGAAAAAGCAGCAGCAGCAGCCCATGGGGATGGGAAACTCTAAAAACAGCATAGGAACAGGTGACCATTGGAATTATTTACTCTACCAAAGGGGTCTGGAGGTTGAAAAATCACACTAGCTAAGGGTTACAGTCTGCTAAACGCTAAGTTCTTTATGTTGATTATTTCAATGAATGTTCATCAGAACCCTGGGAATAGTTATTTTTATCATATCCATTTCACAGATGAGGAAACTGAGCTGTAGAGGGGTTAAGTGGTCATCAGGACACTAGTAAGAGGCCGAGCTGGGCTTTGACTCCAAGTGGTCTGACCTCCAGGTCCACACTGTCACTTGTGTGTCCTGATCCATTACCTGTGAGTGCAGCACCCACAGGCAAGTCCCACTTCACTTCGAGAAAACATTCCCATTTTTATTCTTCCTGCTTTCATCAGTAACTGCTTGTCCGGCAGGAGTAAGTGCTTCAGAAATACTGAGCTCAGTGAACCTGCTAAACACAGGCACCCCGGTGAGACTCTGCCGGATGATGACAAATCGTGTTCACATTAACCTTGTGCCCTGAAGGTTGCCTTTGGTGGGAAGAGGCAGAGAAGACGTGAGTTTCTTGCCAATTCCACCTGGTGGAGAGCCTGCCAGGCCTCCTGACTTGTGGTCCTGTCTCTGACCGGCACGGTGGCTGCTTTTCCTAGGCAAGTGCGGCATAATGTCCCTCCCTGTGATGGCCGGTGCAGCTGCCCAGGACAGGTGTGCAAAGACACAGCTCCACCGAGGCAGGGTGAGAAGAGAGTTTTGAAGATTGAAAAACAAAATAAAAAGCCAAACCCATAACTTTCTGCCGTAGATATTCTTTAAAGTCCTGGTGGGGGCGAGGTTGGAGTTATTATGCTCTGTGTGTGTATGATGAGATACCAGGGCAAGCCACTGTTAATTTTATAATTCAAATTCTGTTTGAATAAATAACCATAAAAACAACAATAATTACCCCATGCTCTGCAAATATTTGCTCTCCACATAAGGGTTTATGGTAGAAGCATGAAGTCTTGGGGTCCTCAAACTTCAGAAAACAAAGGGTACAGATCTTAGGGAAGCTCCAGGCAGAAACTGAGGGGGCTCCTGGAAAGTCTCTGAGTGTAAATGATACAAAGGCCGTCCCTCTGATGGTTGGCAGTAGGAGAATAATCATATCCTGGCCATTCCAGATTTATTTATTTTATTTTATTTATTTATTTTGAGACAGAGTCTCCCTCTGTTGCCCAGGCTGAACTGCAGTGGTGTGATCCTGGCTCACTGCAACCTCCGTCTCCTGGGTTTCAGTGATTCTCCTGCCTCAGCCTCCCAAGTAGCTGAGATTACAGTCGTGCACCACCACACTAGGGTAATTTTTGTATTTTTAGTAGAGATGGAGTTTCACCATGTTGGCCAGGCTTTTCTTGAACTCCTGACCTCAGGTGATCCTCCCACCTCAGCCTCTCAGAGTGCTGGGATTATAGGCATGAGCCACCGCATCTGGCCCCATTTTAGATTTAAATTCCAGAGCCATCCACAACCATTTTCCCTGCTCTGTGCATGCCCCCGCTTCCCCCAACCCCAAATCTAATCAGTTGATGGGATCCATCAATGTGATTTCTGCATTGCTTCTCCTCTGTCTGCCTTCTACCTGCCTGTGTCTAGTGCAGTACCTCATTACCTCCTGCATGGACCATTGCAAGAGTCTCCTACCTCGTTCTTCTAGAAACCAGTGCAAACTTTCAAAAGCATGGACGAGGTCAACTCACTCCCTCGTTCCAAATTCTGTAGTAGCTCCATTTTACTTACAGAATAAAACACGAACTCCCCAGCCTAGCATATAATACACTGGGTGATCTAGCTCCATCCAATCTTTCACTCACTACTTATTCAACACGTATTCCCCGAATTCCTCCACGCACCAGGCATTGGCATCCCCTCTGTGTGCACAGTGCTGCCAACAAAGTCCTCGTCCTTCTTTCAAGGACCCCAGAGGGTGGAGGGGGTCACACCAGGGTGCTAAGGACTTGCCCAGCTGGAGCCCCTGTGAGGTCAGGGAAGGCATCCTGGAAAAGGTGACTTATCTAAAGTCACTTGAAGTCACCCAAAGAAGGCATAGGAGGGAGCCAAGAAAAGATGGAATGGGTGTGGGACGGGAAGGCAAATGGAGCAGGTACCCCTTACCCAGGGATAAGGGGGTGCGGGCAGTTCAATATAGCCATCGCCTGTGAGAGGGAAAGTGAAGACAGGAGGAAGTGGGTCTCTATTACAACAGACTGGAAGAACCTGTCTGGGAGTTCAGGCTTAATCTTGAGCAGTGGGAGGCCATGGAAGGGTTTAAGCAGGAGAGCGCTATGAATAGATTTGCATTTTAGAAAGATCATTCCGTCTGGAGTTTGGAGAAAAGATTGGAGAGAGGGAGAAGAGAGGCAGGGAGGTGGTTATGAAGCCCCTGCAGGAGCTCAGGCAGAGGGCGATTGTGGCATTGGGGATGGTGGCGTAAAGAGTTGACAGAGGTAAGAGGCATTGAGGTGCTGAGGGAGGAGGTCTTGGCAATTATTTGATGTGAAGGGTGAGGGAGAAGAAGGTGACAAGCCCACGTCACAGGTCTCTGGCTTGGGTATGCGTGCAGGTCGTGGTGCCGTTTTCTGGGATGGGAGCATAGGACAAGCAGGTCTCAGGTCTGGGTGAGGGTGGGGAAGCATGAGAGGGTGAGCTCAGGTCTGGACATACTAAGAGTCAGTGCCTGTGAGACACACGAGGAGAAATACTGATTGAGACTGACAGAAACAGAAAGGTTGAGACAAAAGCCAAAGGACACCAGCGCCAAGGAAAGTCTTCAACAGAGACGGAGAAGGAAGAGACACAGAGGCAGGAGGAAAACCCAGGGAAGTGGGTAATCCAAGGCAGGACACCAAGTAAAGTCAGGACAGAAAAGCACTTCTTGGTTGTCCTGAGTCAGAAGATTGTTAATGACCTTGACAAGAGCAGTGTCCCAGGAGTCGGTGCTGGTATGGGGAGGATCCAGGGACCTTGACAAGAGCAGTGTCCCAGGAGTTGGTGCTGGTATGGGGAGGATCCAGGTTGGGTTGACAAGTTGTTCAAGGTGAGAATGTGGAAGCAGGAAGTGAAGACCAAGTCTGTCAAGAACTTCAGCCATGAATAGTGGAGGAAAAGAAGAGGATTGAGTCCTGGGAGGGACAATCTTCAAAAGAGGTTCCCGCTCCCATTCCTCCCCTCCCTCTCTCCTTCCCTTCCTCCCTGCCCTCCCTCCCCACTTCTTTCTCTTTCAACAGGCGGATCAAGGAAGGGGCCAGAGGAGCTGGAGCAGGTGGAGCTCCAGATTCAGGAAGGAGAGGGAATGATCCATAGGGAAAGTTGTAGGGGAGGGGCTCCCAGCATGGGTGGAGAGGTTGGCCGTGCAGGAGGAGGGATCCCTCTTTCACTGTTGCCAAGAGGAGGAAAGGAGAGGGCAGATGCAGATGAGCCTGGTGGTTGGGGCCAGGAGTTGGGAAAGTCATCTCCTCATCCTTTCTAGCCTTGAATTGCTCCTGTGCATCAGGGCCACACGCACTCCTCCCAACATGTGCTGACCTTTCTCCGTGTCACCCTCTACATCTGCTCAGTGAGTTCCCCTTTTTCTGCACGTGCTTCATTCCATCTTTAAATGCAAAGGCATATCCAGATTTTGTGGGACCTGAAGTGTACACAATTTGGGACAGTCTCTTTAACAAAAAGAATGCTAAAATAGATCACTTTGGCAAATCTTACAAAAATCCACAGAGATGTGAACACAGCTCTGCAGCCCTTCCTGGGACCTTGAAATGGATCCTTGTAAGCTAGGATGCCTGAAGGTTAAGCTTCATTGGCTTTATGTTAAGTCTTCCTCCATTTAAATGTGAAAATCCTACCCAAACCTCAAACTTGAACAACAGCAAACGAAATAAAATAAAGAAAGAAACCCCAACACAACCAAAAAACTTCCTCCTTGAAGTTCCTCCCATTCGAACTAAATAAGGAGAGCCTTAGCTTCCCCATCTGGAGAATGGAGCTAAGAGCCTCTATCTCCAAGTCCTGAGGATTCAGTGAGGCAGCATATGGACAGAACCTGGCATAGTTCCCTTCCCATAATTGGTGCATACAAAATGATTGCTGAAGAAATAAAGGGATGTATGAACCTAACTCTCTTTTCTCATTTATCGCTTTTTTTTTTTTTTTGAGACAGGGTCTCATTGTGTCACCCAGCTGCGGTATAGTGGTGCAATCGTAGCTCACTGCAGCCTCAAACTCCCGGGCTGAAATGATCCCCCCTCATTGGACTCTCAAGTAGCTGGCACTACAGGTGCACATCACCACATCTGGCTAACTTTCGTATTTTTTTTGTAGTAACGGGGTTTCAACATGTTGCCCAGGCTGGTCTCAAACTCCTAGCTCAAGTGATCCTCCTGCCTCAGCCTCCCAAAGTGCTGAAACTACAGGAGCGAACCACCACACCTGGCCTCACTTATCACTTTGACCTACATGTTAGTTATCTGCATGCTCATCTTATCTTTCCCATTAGACTCCAAATACCTTGAGCATGTCTTGTTATTTTTGAGTCCTTCATAAGGTCTATCAGTGTGTCTTGCATACAGTGGGTATTCAATCAATTTATTGAATGAATGGATGGATGAATGAATGGAGAGTATGAATCACTTCATTAAGAAGGAAGTTCATTGTTAGGAGAGTTGCTTAGAAATTCGCCTAAATGAGTTTTCCAGTTGAGGCTATCAATTCTTGGTGTCCACGTTGTCGGGGATCAGTTAACAAAAGAACAGGAAGGACTGGAGCTGTGTCTTAACAGATAACACACATTTGGTTGAGGAGGCAGAATGTGGAGAAGTCAGGGCTGGAGACTTCAACAGCATTCAGAGTTTAGTTGGTGATATTAGGAACCTTCAGCACAAGACAGTCTGTGGAGTGCTGCTTGGGTTAAACATGATAAATTGGAGTACCCCTAAACTAGGCAAAAGCTGTCAAATGCAATTCAGGAAGACAAGTGTAATGAATATGTAGCATAATATGGGTAGATTTCTTACCGGATGCATTTTGAATATATTGCTGCTTAGGAAAAGCTCATTTCCCAGAGGTACCCACATGGGGGAAACTGCTTTTCTGTTTACTTCTCAAAGGGCTGTTGTGAAGATTAGATGGAAAAAAATGTAAAAGTTCCTTGTAGACTGTAAATGCCAGATAAATATTCTTTATTATCACTGTTATTATTGCTTTCCTGGCCTTATCTCTCTCCTTACCCTCTCTTCTCAGACTCTATATCCCACCAATTTCCTTGAAGTATCATCATTCCCCAAACACATGAGTGTGTTCCTAGACCACAGGGTAGCCTGTACCAAGTGGTATGAGACATGTATGTGTGTCTGCCTGTTCCTCAGATTCATTTTTACCCCTCAGTCCTGAGCACGATTCCTGGCACAAAATAGGAGCTTGGTAAATGTTTGCTGGATAGAAAATGCTCTCAGGTGATGGGAAAATAGTTCTTGGATCATTTCATCTGGCCCCTTTGGTTTCATCTGACTTTGGTTGTGTGGTCTTCCTAAGAAAGGCAAGTCTAGTTTCCAAGACACTAGACCTCTTTATTATTTCTAGGACATCAAGGCCATACATATTCCTTGTTACTCTACCAGTCTTGAAAAAAAATGACCCTCCTGGAAATTCCAGAAAGCCAAGAAACCAGAATATTCCTGTTCTGATGTAACTTCTAAACAATTCATAATATCAAATTAAGAAAGACAGCTTTTTTTGTTCCTTTCTTCCTTTCTTTTTTTTAGTGGAAAAAGCCCCAACAAAATATCCAAGAATGTGGGTTTAGAGCCATGTGATCTTATCCAGAGCACTTGACTACTTGGAGTCTCCATTTCCTCTTGTGTAAAACGAAGATAATAATTCTGTCTTGGCTTCCTTATGGGGACGCTTTCAAGATGAATAGGATAATGCATGTATCTCCCATAGCCCTGCAGCCTTATGCTTCATCCTGTCAGTGCAATCTTTTTAGGCAGGGCCCTTGGTAGACACAAAAGACATGTATTGATAAACATTGGCAAAGGGTCACAAAAGGGAAATACTAGGAAAATATGGAATAACAGCTCTCCCTGGGGGCAGATCAGTTGGTAGCTGTTACGAGGTGGATTTCATTCTAAGACTGGCAATGGGGACCATTTGGCAGGAAGAATGGGAATGTAAAGCACAGAGGGGAGAATTCCGGGGCCTACACCCGTCCACTCCTCCTTCCTCCTCTTACAGAGATGCCTGGTCCCAGGAACCCACCCTCTCCTGTCTTATTGTGTCATAGGACCCTGCACTATGCTTGCTACCTCTGTATTCGACATCCCCCTCAAAACTGGCTCCTTTCCACTGATACACTCAATCTCCACCATCTTAAAAAATATCCTCCCTCAACCCTGTAAACCTTTGCCTCGATTTCTCCCTTTCACTGCCCAGCAACTTAATGGAGTTGAATATTCACTGTTTCTAAATCCAGTGAACACTTTCCTGTCTTCATCTTATTTATTTGTTTTTTGTTTTTTGTTTTTGTTTTTGTTTTTGAGACAGGGTCTTACTCCGTTACACAGGCTAGAGTGTAGTGGTATGATTCTGGCTCACTGCAGCCTTGAGTTCCTGGGCTCAAGCAATCCTCCCAGCTCAGCCTCCTGAGTAGCTGGGACTACAGGTGTGTGTGGCCATGCTTGGCTAATTTTTAAAAATTTTTTGTAGAGATGGAGTCTCACTATGTTGCCCAGGCTGGTCTCGAACTCCTGGACTCAAGCGATCCTCCCACCTCGGCCCTCCCAAAGTGCTGAGAGTCACTGCGCCTGGCCTCTTTATCTTATTTACGACGCTCGCTCCTTCCTTGAAGTGCTGCTTTCCTGGGGGCATCCAGTACATCACACTCTCCTGACTTTCCTCCCATCTGTGGCTGCTCCTTCTCCATCTCTGTTACGGGTTGAATTAGATTCCCTCCAAAAGATAAGTTCACGTCCTAACTCCCGGCACCTGTGAATGTGATCTTCTTTGGAAACAGGATCTTTGCAGATGTAATCAAGTTAAATGGAGGTCCTGTTGGATCGGGGTGGGCCCTCATCTGATGACTGGTGTCTTTATAAGCAGAGGAAAATTGAGACACAGACACACACAGAGGGCAGACGGCCATGTGGTGAAGAGGCCGAGATTGGAGAGATGTGTCCAGAAAACCAGGAATACCAACCACTACGGGGAGCCACCGGAGGCTGGAGTGACGCCACGAAGCATCTTCCCCTAGAGCCATCGGAGAAAGCACGTCCCTGCCAACACCTTGACTTCTGACTTCTGGCCTCCAGAAAAGTGAGAGAATAAATTTCGGTTGTTTTCTGCCATGGAGTTTGTGGTACTTTGTTACTACAGCCGTAGTCTCCTTTCAGGCTCAACCTACGTTACATGTGGATTTTCCTAAATGCTTAGTTCCAGACTTCTATTAATTTCTCTATGTATCTTCCCTCCTAGGCGACCTCCTCCACATCTACCCTTCAGCTGGGGCTTCTCTCACCTGTACATCCTACCCATCTTTTAGAGCACAACTCAGACCTTCCTCCCACAGGGAAGCCTTCTGTGGCAGATGCTGCTGGTGCCCACCCACATCTCCTTGGCACGCCTCACTCCCAGTTCAGCTTCTCACTGCAAGCTGCTCCTCTCTGCCCGAGTGCTTTCTCTGGCTGCAGGAGTGCGTGGGGGCAGAACAGAACGGCAGAGAACTGACACCTCCAGGATCAGCCTCCAACAACAATGGATGGGAGTTGCAGAATATATAACCCAGCTTCCTCGCCCCCGACCAGGGACCTAGCCTGTCTCCTGGAGGCCCCAGGGGACTAAGCCTCCCTTGTCCATGGGTAACCTGCTGATTAACTACCCCCATATTGGTTTTCTTCTTTTTCTCACTTCTTTACCCTCCTAACTTGCTCCTGAGATTAGCCTGCTCATCCTCAAATCCTTATCTCAGGGTCTGCTTCTGGGGAAATCTAACCAAGACACCTTAACTGAATTACCAGCCTGGGGCAGGTTCTCTGATCATTCTTTCTAACAGCACGAGGAACCTTGGCTGCTCAGATGCGATTGCAGTTTACATGCACACATTTCTTTCTGTGATTATTTGAGTAATGTCTGTTTTTTGTGCTAGAGCAGGGGTCGGCAAAACAACAGCCATCAGGCCAAATCCAGCTGCAATGGCTCATTTCCGTATTGGCTGTGACTCCTTTTGAGCTGCAGTAGCAGAGCTGAGTAGTTTCAACAAAGATCTTATGGCTTGCAAAGCAGAAGTATTTACTACCCGGTCCCTTACAGAAAACGTTTATTGGCCCTTGTGGTAGGCTATACATTTGTATCAGTTAGCTTGGCTGGGTAAGAAACTACCCAAAACTAAATTTTTTGAATTTATGTAGCTCACAATTCTATGAGCCGACTGGGTAGCTTTTCTGGTTTAAGCCCGATCAGCTGATTTCTGCTGAGTTCTCTAAAGTGTCTATGGTCAGCTGGTGGGTCAAGTGACAACAATGGTACTAGGATGGCCTCACCCACATTTTAGAAGGTGGTAGCTGTTGGCCAGTGAGACACTGGCAATTAGGCCATGTGTCTCTCGCCATCCATCAGGCTGCCTTGGGCTTCTTCATACAGCAGTGGCAACAGGGGTTCTATGAGTGGCCAGACAGGACAGAGCACAAACATTATTCAAGCCTCTGCTTGCGTATGTTGTCTAACATCCCATTGCTCAAAGCCAGTCACATGGCTGAGTTCAGCATCAAAGTGGGGTGGCACCAAAAGGGAACCCACTAAACCTATGGCTATTTTTACAATTCACCATGAAGCTCTACGAGGGCACAGACCCTGCACGTACTCGCTCACCATTCTATGTCAATGAGTAAAGCACAGTGTCTGGCATAGAGTTGGTGCTGAATAAATCTTCATTAAGTAAATGAATACAATTTAACTGTTTGAATAACAACGACCTTTTATTGAGCCTTTGCTATATAGTTGGAGTGGTTTTAGATACTTCACATGCATTAGCTAATGCTTACCTGAGAGACAGACCCCAGTACCAGACAAGACAGACAAGACAGCCGAGGCTCACCATCAAGAACTTGCCCTGTGTCGCAAAGGCAGTCTGAGGAATCAGAATTTTAAACTAGTTTGTTTAATTCCAAAGCCTGCTCTGTTAATCATTATCCCCTCCTTTTTTTTTTCACTAAAAGCTTTAAATTTTTTACAGTTTCAAATTTCTTCCTTTATTTTACTATTTTATTTTATTTCTTTATTTTACTAATTTCATTTTAAAATTGGGAGCTGGGTGTTTCTCTTGGCTTCCCCAGCCCTTTCTCCTTGGTGGCCCAGAGGTCCTGTTAACACCTCATAACCAACCTCCATTTCAGTGCCGGGTGGTAATTTTGACTTAAAAAGTTAGCTTGTGGGACAACCAACAGCCACACACCTAAAATCACTGCTCTTGACAGCTCAGCAAAATTGAAGGCCAACATTTCACTCAAGAAGGCAATAAATCCAGCCCCCAAGGCAGCTGCTGAGAGGCGCTGAAACAGCGCTGTTATCTTATCTCTCATACCATTCAGGCCGTACATGAGGGAATCCATGGATCAAAATCAAAAAAGTCTCCAGAGAACATAGTCTTCGAAATGACCATTGTTTATTCAGAGTTCAATAATTAATCAACCCCACAAACCTTTCTTCAGCACTTACGGTATTCCAGGCATTATGCTACTCACAATGGGAGAACATAAGTGAACAAGAGCCCCTGCCGTCGAGATGCTCGTCTAAACAGACAATGATTTGGCAATGTATTGAGTGTTCTGGTGGAGACGTGCCCAAAGAGTACACAAGGGGGGCGGTGAGCTCGGTTTGGGTGAGCTCGGTTTGGGTGGGAAGCTGAAGAGGAGAATAGGAAAGTCTCTTATACAACCTTGGGAATCTAATTCAGGTTCAAACAAGGTTGGGCTTCCAAAATGGTACAATGGAGTAATCAAGCTCATGGACTGAGATGTCTATTTGCAGATTTGTTATTTCTGCCACTTGTTATTTGTGCAATTTTGGAAGAGATGACTTCTCTAAGCCTTAGTTTACTCATTCATGAAATGGGTGAAAATATTATCTGCTTCAGAAGGTTTTTGAGGATTAAATTTAAAAATATATATATATATATGTCTTGTGCTTAGCATTATTTTGGGCACGTAGTCAATGTTCAATAAGTGACAGGTGTTATTAGTGATTGTTAGTAATAGTATTGCTGGTAGTAGCATTCTCACCTATATTGCCCATTCCTTCATTCATTTAAAAAATATTTGTTAAGTGTCTGCCGTATCTCAGACTCCATGGTGGACACAAAAATGACAATATGTACATGAAGCCTTTCAAAAGGCTTACAGCTTAGTGTAGAGAAGACACATATATAAGTAGCTACCTTCCCGTCCAGAGCTAGGCTCGTATCCAGTAAGATTGGGCCTGGAAGCCTCCTGCACGTCAGGACTGTTTTCCCTGGGATACACACTTTTGCTATCTTGGACCACTTCAAATCTGTTTGATTTCAGATTTATCTCTGGTTTTTCATTTGTAGTTTCACTTTTGTCTCTTTGTCTTGGTGCTTGATACAACTCTATTGGTACTGACCTCTGGCTTTCATTTTTGGCTAGGGCTGATATTTTCCCTTTGGATTACGTGATCTAGGGCCACTCTAGGCAAACATCTTACCTGACCTAGCCTGAGCAGGAGCCTGATCCGAGCTTAGTCCTTAGGGGTCCACCAGATGGCAAATTGAAGGTAGTGATTGAAAAGCATCTCCAAGAAAAAAATGGCAAAGTGCTGTGGAGAGCCCAAGGGGGAGCCAGCCTGGCCTAGACTCTACCATAGTGGCTTGGTGGACAGAAAGCAGCCAGCTCCTGTGTTGTCATTCATTTCTGTGCAACGCAGAGCTCATCCTTGCAGCCTCATAGCTGACTTCATGTGACTCTGCATATATACACCTCTTGTTAATTCATCCAGTGCTGTGAGTTGTTGACTGTAACTTGACATCTCTAACAATCCATCAGTTTATTTATTAATTATAGCAAACTGGTTTCAGCCACAGAAAATTAGAAATGAATTTTTCAATAAGCCACGTCTCCAGGGATAGTTCACAAAATCAAAAGGAAGAATACCTGGCCAATCTAATTCATTATCACAATCAAATAGTGCTAAATGGTTCTTTGTGGGATAAGCTTAAATTAAGAAATTGTATTAGCAGCTCTAATCATTACTGATTATTTAATTATCGGCCATTTAAAAATCATCTCCAGTTTTGAGATTATGGATCAGATTGAGATTTACAACATCCTTCTTTAGTTCACTCTACCCTCTAACAAGATGTATTGCAATATTGTTGAGTTAGCACTGATTTTACCTCGATCCCCATCGTAGTTCCTTCATTCCATGGCAACCTGGAGCAAAGATAATAATAGCAAACATTTATGGAGTGCTTATTATGTACTAGGAATGTGTTTGAGTTCATAAATAACTCATCAATGAGAACTCATACATGCTCCTAGCATACATTGCGATTGATTATATTTATTAACTTATTTAATCTTCATAAAACCCTACAAAGTAATTATTATTACGCCCATTTTATAAATAAGAAAACTGACGCACCAGGACATTTGATTGAAGTGTTCACAATGAATAAGCAGGAGAGCAAAACTTTGAGCCCAGCTCATCTGGCTCCAGGGCACTAGAATCCATGCCTAACCACTAGGTCACTTCGCCTCTAATGCCTCCCAGCTTAGTGTTCATTGCATGGCAGGTGCTCAATCCAGCCAACCATTGGAGTCCCCACCAGATTGTAGGCTCTTTTGAAGACAGTGTGGTGTCTTGTTTACCTCTGTATCTATCCTTTACCATTGCTAGCACTGAGCTTTGAGTAACAGAAACTCAACTCTGTGTGTGTGTGTGTGTGTGTGTGTGTGTGTGTGTGTGTGTGTAATTGGAAAGGTAAGATTGAGGGAGGGAGGTAGCAAAAAGAGTAAGATAAAGATTTTACTAATTCCAAAAGTAGCCTGAAGTCTAAACATGTTACAATCTCTACTCAGAATCTTTGGGGGTAAACATCTTTAACACATACGAGTGTATCAGAGCCAGGCTAAACCATGACTAGATGACCCCAGGTCTGAGAAATCAGGGCCTGGACATACTCTGAGAAATGTTAATAGGTAACAAAGAAAGTCGGAACGGTTGGTGAGTTAATATTTGAAATGCAATTCAGATGAAGTCATATCCAGACTCTGCCAACTTTCAATTGCTTCCAGCATCTTCAAACACCACATGCCAAAATCTTCCCTCTACCTCACTCACCAACACTTCTTCTTCCCAGTCACTGCGGCGCAAAATCCCGCCTTTGAATCCTCCTTCTCCCTGTGCCTCTCTCCCCTACCTCCATCTACCCAGTCTCCAAGACCACAGACTCAACCTTCTCCTTATCATGCCCACAGGTCCCCAACTCCTCCTTCCCTGCCAAGTCTCCTGACCAGCCTCTCTGCCTGTTCTCATCTTTCCTCTATCATCTATGCACCACTGTTGCTGTTATCTTTTTCTAATTGCAGTTTTAGTATATCCTTCTCCTCCTGGAAGATATATAGTAAACCCCCACTCCTGCTGGAGTACATAGTCCTTTACCTTGAATTCATGGGGCTTTTATCATATCACTCAATTGAGTAATGTAGGTTTTATTCCTGCCTCCCATCCCACATTCAAGTTCACACTCTCCACTCTAACCCAAGTGTACTATTTCTAGACCCGCACATGTTACCTGCTCTTCCCTCCTGCCAGGTCTTTATGGACTGCCGCTCCTTCAGCCGAAACCTCCTATTTCCTGCCTGCCTTTCAATTCACATAAGCTTATTGCTTTTTACCAGCCAAACCCAAAGAGACACGTCATTGAGGGTGGTGAGGCTCTTTTAATTTCTCTTCTCAAAAGACACATTGTCTAGCAGATTATATTCATCAGCCGTCAGGACACATGCCTAGCTTCTTTATTACCTGCTGTGCTTTTATGTCGGCCTCGTCAATGGGTTGTCTGTCAAATCTGAACTTTGTCTTTCTCAGGGGCAGGTCTCTCTCAGCCTTACTTGTTTACCTCATAGTCTGTGCCGATTATTTCTAAAGACGGCCACTTTGGAAGAAACCTACCTAGCTATGGGAGATGCCTCCATAGAGGGAAGGCAGAGCCAGCAGCCAGGACCATGAACCTGGAGGTGGATGACCTGAGATGGGATGGGAGGAGCAATTGTGTCCAGGTGCCGGGTGCTCATTCCTTTGACTCCGTTTGACACACCTGTTATTCCTCAAATGCCTTGAATAAAACAACCAAGTCAAATTCTCTTCTTCCTAAAGGGGATCATGATAGACCTCAGCAGGTTTTGGACTCAGCCAACAAAGAATAGACATTTTTCATATTTAGAAAATAGGCTCACCAGCCGGGTGTGGTGGCTCACACTTATAATTCCAGCACTTTGGAAGGCTGAGGCAGGTGGATTGCTTGAGCACAGAAGTTCGAGACCAGCCTGGCCAACATGGTAAAACCTCATCTCTAAAAAAAAAAAGAAAATAAAATATACTCACCTGTGGCTCGCCTATGATATAATGGACATGAGCATCATCCTAGTGACAACTGAGAAAACTCATTTCATCCATTTCTGCATTTTGCAGACGCTGGGTCACTCCTGGTTTGGGATCCCATAATCCCATCTGCTTTAGATAGATGCTAAGTAGGTTATTTATTCTAGAAGTCTTTAACTCCTATCCTAAGTAGTGGATGCCATTTCTCGCCAGGCTATTTATTCCAAGTGACCCTTATAAATGGTTCATTCAAGAGGAACTCAGAGTAGGCACTCTCCCCTACCCAGAATTTTCCTCAAGATACAGACCCCTTAGTTTGCTACCGATCCCATTAGAACTCTATGACAACTCTCTCCTTAACATGTTTCAAGTCTGGGTCTTCAATATTTTGTCTTAGGACTATAAAGAATCTAGGTGCATTAGTCCATGACCACTTCCTGCTCTACTTTTTCATTTCAACAAGGAAAAAACTGAGAGTACCCTATAGGTTTTGCAGAATAGCCTTTCAAATATCCAGTTTCACAAAGGGAACGTGATGTAGTATGAAACAAACCATACAATCTCGGAATCAACAAGCAACTGTTAATATTTCCTCGAAGACTGAATCGTCACTTACTGCAGATAACTGTTCTGAATACCAGTATATTCATAGCACTCTCCTAGGCACTGAGAAGAGGGCCAAGGTGACGATGGGAAGGTGAGAAAATAAATAAAATGGGTCATCAACCTTAAAGGAGTTACAGGCAATTCCTGTTATTCATGGTAGTAATGTTCTATAAAGTCTCTGTGAACACTGAATCAAGTGAATACTGAACTACTCTTCCTAGGGGAAACACAGGGTTATGTTCCTGTGAGCCTCTGGTCCCAACATTTTTGTCCATTGATCAATACATACCTTGTCTTCGTGTGTGTGTCTGTTTACAGACACGACATTTAACACATATTGTTAACTCATTAACATTGAGCTCATGGCCAACAGCATCAGAACTCATGGGTGAACGAAGCATATCTACACACGTATTTTCTCCTCAAGGCACATCACAGAGTTCGTGCACCTAGAAATGCTAGACGCACTGCAGCACTACCCTTGGGGGCCATTTTAAACAGCAATAGCATCGAAAAAAGCACAAAGGTGCAAAAAATGTGTCATTAAATGTACCACAAAAAGGACACTTGTTTACAGGTTGAAAATTAAAATAAGCAGGCAGAGCGTCCCCTTGTTTGACCTCACGTGGGGACGTGTGTGGAGAGCGATTCGTTTTTCTCCACTCTGCACACATCTGCGCTTGTTTGTGAAAGTGCCACGGTATTGATTTGGGGGTTACATAAATTCAGCAAGTGGGCAAAGTCACAGTTCTGGAATTCATGAATAATGAGGACAAATTGTGTATTCTAAAATGCATGTGAACAACAAATTACACAATTTCTAAGACAGAATTGGGGCAAAAATGAAATATTGTAACCTGGACCAGCTACATAATTTGCAGGGCCCAGTGCCAAGTGAAAATACAAGGTCTCTTGATCCAAAAGACAGCAGAGCAGGAAGCCAGATGTGGGCCTTTGTGAGTGAGGGCCCTTTACCACTGCAGTTCCTGTACCAAGGAAGCTGGCCCCGACCTAACAGTGACATGAGTACAGTGTGGGGAGCAGACTTGGGGACTGGACCAAGTGACATGAGTACAGTGTGGGGAGCAGACTTGGGGACTGGACCAAGTGACATGAGTACAGTGTGGGGAGCAGACCTGGGGACTGGACCAAGAAAGGTTTTCTGGAGGTGGTAGCATTTGAACAAAGCCTTGGATGGCTTGAGAAAGTGGCTGAAATGAATGGCTGAACACCACCAATTCACGTAATGCCCACCATATTTACAAACAAGTCTGGAGGCCTGCTGTGAACTCCATGGTACACAGGTTGCATAACACTTACTGACTTGACCACGAGCCAGGTCCTGGGACAAATGGTTAACATGCGTTCTCTCATTTAATCATTACAATAACCCTAAGAAGGCCAATGTCATGGCCACCCCCATTTTACAGTTGAGGAAATGGAGGCTTATTGAGGTTAAGCAACTTGCCCAATGTCACACAGCCAGGGGCAGAGGAACGGTTTAAACCCTGACCCTCTGGCCCCCAAACTTACTTAGAACCTTCATCAGACCATATTTCCCTTTTTAATAGGCAACTCATATTGCCCTGTTTTTTAATGGAGCCATCTTTGGTAGTCTCACTATCAGTGGGGCCAGGTAAGCACACCTGTATCTCAGAGGGGATAGGTGAGGCTGAGAGGGTACCTCCAACCCTAACCTACTTCCCAATCCTATTGGTTTCTGAGGAAGGAAACGGTCATGCCACTGAGACATGGCCAGGGCCCTTAGACTTGTGTAGTTCCTTAGAGTTTACAAAGTGCTTCCACCTTCATTATCTCACAGGTTCTTGCAACAGTCCCGTGAATTCCTGACACATTTTACAGATGGGAAGCTGATTGTGAGGGAGGACAAGTGACTAGGCCAAGGGGCAGACAGGCAGGCAGGCAGGCAGGCGAGGAGTGAAGGCGGGAACCGGAGCCCAGACCTGCAAGCTCCTGGCCAATGTTCTTCTGGCTCGGCCCCTCGGCCTTCACCAGGACCATTTGGTGGCAAGTGGTTTAAAACCACGGTACGGAAATGCCTCAGCTCCACATCTTCCCCTGCCGAACGCCTCTCACTGATACAGTGCAGGTGCGTGTGTCGGGGTTTGCTTAGCAAATGCATTCTCCTTTGGATTTTGGTTCTTTAAGAGTGGGGCAGGAACACAGAGTATTTGATAGGATAATTAATACTCTGAATAGTACACATGACAGGAATCTGCTGGCAGTTGAGGCTCAATCTGTGGACTATTCAGCTGAAGGGGTTTTCTAGCTTCTCTGAACAGGTTAATTAAGCAAAGTTGCCGGAGGGGGCTCCCCTTGGTATGGGGCAGGAGGAGCAGAGCAGCATTTGAAGACTCGCGCACCGACTGGCATCTTTACCCAGCACCGGGAGGCTCTTTGGATCCAAGAGAGGAGCCTTTTCTTGCTTTCTGCTTGCCTTGGCTCTGGTCCCTGGTCTCTGTCTTGCAGCCAGTGTGCTGAGGCCCTCTTGGGCCCCCTGTCCTGCAGCAGACGTGAGGGGACGGAGGGCTCTTTCTCCTTCCAACAGTGGCACAAGGAGGAGGGCAAGGTCCTTTCTCTTCCATGTTGAGATGGGCTGTGGCGGGAGGGAGGGAATAAAAAGAGACTCTGGCTCTGTGTTCCAGAATTAATGGTTAGCGTCTGCTGAGGCTATTTGCGCTGTAATCGAAATTAAACAACAAAAAGCAGGGATGAAGCAAAACAACCCAAATGATCAAAAACCATTCGGGTGGTGGGTGTAAAACTCGCTTTCTCTCAGCAGCAGAGGTCCAAGTATACATACCCACTGGAAAGCTGAAGTGCTGAACAGAACACCTTTGTAGTCACTTTTGCTGAGACACATGCACACGCATACATTTAAGGAGGAATGCGCCATTCGCTGCCCTGCGAAGTATCACACGTCCGCATAGTAAGCAGTACATTTCACACATGAATGAGGGGTCTGAATCTCAAATGTAAGCCACTGGAGATCTGTGAAAATTATCAAAAGGGGTGAGTAGAAATTCAGCAATTTTATTCCGTTCAGTAAAGGAATAAGTCTGTGGTCGCTAACCATCCTTCTGTCTCATCAAGAAATTTTGTGGTAGACTCATTCTATGGAAAGTTTGTCTACAGTTTTCCATCTGCTGTGATAATCGTTATTAATCAAGCTGCTGTCATACCATCTTGGGCTGTGATTTTGTTAACCCCTCCATGCCAGGTAGGGTTTGTCCTGGGGAAGGAAGATGTACCTGAGGGGCCTGGATGGTGCATGCTCTCTGCATCACGTGACAAGTCTCTGGGCTATTAAATGTCATTTTCTAAAAGAAGCATAAAATGGGGACTGTGAGGATCTATCTGTTCTAAGACTCACCCATCAGATTTACCTGAGATCCTGTTTGAGGTGGGGAGTCAGTTTCCTAGCCCACAGTTTTTCCATGCAGTTCATGTAAGTCTCTGATTTCATCAGAAAACTTCTTATTCACTGTCTGCCCCACAGCTTCCCGTTTCTTGGCCCCTGTTGAGTATGCACATGCCAAATGCCATTTCCAGGCAGTAGGGAGAGGGGACTCCTGGGTCCCTAGGAAGCTGACCCTGAGTTAGTGTCTGGAACTGCCCCTGAGTCGGTGGTCCATGGAAATCAGTGCTTTCGAGGTTTTTTGGTTTGTTTACTTTGCTTTCGTACTATTTTTAGAAAGTAATTTAAGGCTAAACAATGTTTTAAAAATAATCTAAAAATCTCATCCACCACCAGAGATAATTAGTTGCATGTGGAGTTAATTTAGAAACTAGAACCCCAGCGTTGGGAGACAGCAAACAGAAGGTAGTGGTGGATTTCCATTTTATGATTAGTGCAATGGCAGAAAATTCACAAATATGACTTTGTGCCTAAATACATAATAATTCATCAGACTGGTGATATCAACAAAAATGAACTGTGGCTCACCTTTCTGGAATCTTCAATTGGTAAAATTCCCCATCCTCTCCTGGCCTGCCTAATCCATCTCCCAATATATCTTATTTTAAAGGCAGAGAGAATTGAGCCTGAGAAAACAAAGGTATGATTGCGAGAGGTGGTATGATAACCATATTCAGGCTAATGAACAGATCTTTTCTAGCTCCTAATGTAGAATAGGAGATTGTGATAATAATAAAACAATGAAGATTTATTGAGTGCTAATGTGTGCCAGACACTGTGCTAATTGATTTATATCCATTATCTCAGTCCATCCTCACAAGATCCTATGAATAAGTTGCTATTACTGTCCTGCAACTGGGAAAGAGCAGAGCTAGCATTTGCATTCAGGTTCACTCCAGAGCCCATGCTCTTCAACACTGTGCTCAGTTGAGAAAACGGGCATCCAGCAAAACTAAGAATTGAAGTTCACGATGACTTGACATCAAGGAGAATTCCTCAGTCTTTAAGGAAAGAGTTAACTATATTCAGTCCTCTGTACTTACTAGGACAGTCAGGAGTTTCCAGGTAAACCTGGAATTATCCAGAAGTTCAGGTAGCCTGGAGATAATACTGCAAACAATTTAGATTAATTAAGATTTAAATTTCTTTTGATGGCTTTTCTTATTGTCCCTGGACTTTCAGGTCTATCACATGTAGATATCCAGGTTCCCCTTCCTGTTATGGTGTTTCCCTGCTGCACCGCGAACGTTCTGACTTTTGTGCACCTCAGATTTTTGTCTCACTGCCATAGTGCCCCTTTTCTCTGCTTGGATGATTTTTTTTGCTTCATACTTCTGGGTTTCCATTTTTAAAATGTTTTCGGAATAAACCCCGGATCTCTACTGGAGAAGGCAGGTACTATTCTCTATGCCTATTGACTACCCTCTTGCTCTGCATTAGCCCAACTCCAATGTTTTAAACTTTCCTTCCTTTGCATCCCTGCTGCCTTTATTTACATTACTCCTTTCCCAGTTTTCTCTCATCTTCTATCCTAAATGTTTAACGCCGTTCTTCCCACTGAGGAAAGTAGCCCCTCCAGGAAAGAGGAGGTTTGGCTTTCCAAGCTGCCAATTCAGCATGGCAGTCGGGAAGGCAACAGAGAAGCATACATTTAAACTTGCTGATAGGCACAGAAAACCCTGTAGGGCAGTGGAAAACGGTGGAATCCAGGATTTTTTCCGGGGCCGTTCATTACTCACGGAACTTTGGCAGGTTGAAGCCTGCTCACCTCTCCCCGAGGATGAACGCTCCCGCTAATGGAATTCTTCTGTTTTCCTATGGCTCTAGTTTTGTTATCTTTAGGCACCGAGTCAAGCGGCATGTGCCAGTGGGGGTGGCAGCTGCCCCTGCTGTCACTGTCCTGGCATGGCGATGACCCTTCTCTCTGTATCAGCGTCAAGAGGATGCTGTCATCCCACGGCGCCCAGCAAAGCCTCCACCCCACGTAGCAGGGCACCAGGTTGTCTCCAAATCCCTTCCTTTCACCATTAACCGTGAAATACCCAGCACAGGAAATGAAGGTGAAAAGACCAGTACGGGCATGGGTTTCTGCATCCTGATCATACACTTTCTTTTATGTGAGGTTCTTCTTTTGCTGACTATAGTTTCAAATTCTAACGATACTGTAACTAATTCCTGGAAGATGATGGGATTTTTTAAAGTACAATTAAATTAAAGCAGACTTTCTTTTGGTAAACTATTTTTAGTAAAATGTATAGGATTAAAAAAAAACCCAACCCAACACTAGCATCATGTTCAATCTGCGTGTGAAAGCACATTTTTAAGCTAAAACTCCTTACACGTATTTTATTAACATCATTTAAGAAATGCACTGCCTTATTAGTCTAATAGAAATTTAACCTTGTATGAGTAAGTAGGAATACACAGGAAAACATCTGAAAAATCTAATTTATAGATACTCAAGTGAAATAATTTAAACTATTAAAAATGTTAATATGCCTGTCGACCTACTATTTAATTTGCATAAAATACCATACGGGGAGTCACTGCATAAGAGGACAGAAATGCCAGGATGGAAAATCTGAAACATTCAGGCTCAGAAAACGTCTAAGGACTCACAGAGCAGGCATCTCCGATTTTAAAGTCAACCTTAAGTCCTATAAACAACTGTACACCCATTATCTAACCTCTGTATTGTGATTAGGAATTCAAGTGCCTAATTACATGCTTAGCAAAGAGGAAAAGACACAAGGTCCTTCATGACAGGTCAGCTTTAAAATGGGAAGCGTTTTTATTCAATCTGATACCCTCATAATACAAATGATCCTAAAGTTTCCCCCTTTCCTTTCTCTTTTCCACTGAAAAGAATTATGAGTGAGAAAATGCAACCCCCTGGGAAGCAAATCCTCACTGCAGACCCGATGGTTGAAATTCTTGACTTGATTGATTGCCCTGACGCACTCCCTTCCCCTGGCAGGAGCATCCTCACCCCTGCCCAGGACCACAGAGCCATCTCCTCCGCGCTGC
Organism: Homo sapiens; assembly: GCF_000001405.40. Classification (NCBI taxonomy): domain Eukaryota; kingdom Metazoa; phylum Chordata; class Mammalia; order Primates; family Hominidae; genus Homo; species Homo sapiens. The sequence goes on from NC_000001.11 coordinate 244,100,871, forward strand.
TCACCAGACCCGCCATCCATTACCCCCTCCACTCAACAGCTGTTTCCTGCTTGCTCCGTGCAACGTGAGGCTTTTTTAAGCCTTAAAAAAAAAGATGTTTATATAGTTTTCATGATTTCCTTTTGGGCTCTAACTAAATGACTGCTCTTCTTCTCTCCTCCCCCATGTCTATATTTGACACCACCAAACCAAGAGGCTGGTCGTCCCAGGGTTAACATCTCAGTGAACTGGACAGGTAGACCGGAGTCACAGGAGGTCACGGCCCTAGCGGCCTTCACTGAGGTGCCTGTGCCTCTGGGGCCTCGCTGGAGGGTGAGAGTCACAAAGCCTGCATCTTCCCTGAGCTCTCTCTCAGTACCCAGGAACCACACAGATCGCACCAGGCTCCAACTGGAAAACAGGCTGCTGCTTTCCTTTCCTTCCAGGCAATAACGTAATGGGAACTGGAGGATTCTTAAAAGGAAAATGAACAGCAGAAAGATTGGTGCCTCTGCTATTTCCAGCAGACTGGACAGCCTACACAGAGAATCGTCAGAATGGGCAACCGTACATAGCCCAAATGTAACGTTCATATCCGCAGTACATTTTCCCTTATGCAGGAAAGCAATTCTCAGTATCCTGTAGCTAGATCTTCCTATAGCATCAAGAGTCCTTTCCATTTAAACAAAAAAATCTTCTTTCCACAGTTTACCCAAAGGGCAAATAATGGACTCTTGCAATTGCCATTTTGTGCCTAGCAAATTTAAGAGACAGAGGAGGAAAATAACTTGCTATTAGTCAGGAGTCAGTCGGTGGTAGAATCTAAATTAAAATGAAATGTCTTTTCAGTCCTCAACTTTCACTTCATCCATTGAGTCACACAAACAGTAATATTCAACAGACTAGAAAACACGCACTGTCACAGTGTAAATGCTACAATCTTGTAAATCTTTCAGAAAATTCTTGAGACATCATAAGCCATTCAGAAACATTTTGAGTGGTTTGCCACCAGATCTTCCAGATGAGATATTTTCTTCTTCTTCTTTTTTTTTTTTTTTTTTTTGTGGCCTATTTGTCCTATTTTAGTACTTTGAGAAATAATTTTTAATTTGTGTTTGCCAAAAAATCCCACCCTACAGTGACAACATGTGCAATAGGTGCAGCTTTGGGGATGTGTACTTTTTTTGTCTTCGGATGGGAACTGTCAAAAACCAAATCCTAACCCTGTTTAGTTGACAAATACATTTTATAGCTGTCTGAAGATTTAAAGCAATACAGATTGTCTGAGCCAATAAGTTGATTTGGTGAGAGCGGGATGCTAATGAGTCTTTGATCCGTGCAGAGGCCAGTGAGCCCGTAGCACAGCCTCCGCCTGCACCCCTCACCCCGCCAGCTGTCTCGCAAATGCCTGCCATTGGTCACAGGGGGGACCAGGCAAGCTGGGAGTGCGGATGGATCAGCGCAAATCCATCATCTCTCCAAACGCATCACTCAAGTGCTGGTCCTCCACATGACAAACCAGCAGCATTCTCCTTCTGCACAGAGATGGCACGTTGCAATAAAGAAAGGTTCTGTAAAAATATTGGTGTTGGTTTTTAAAGGAGAGCTTTTTTTTTTTTTTTTGCCTTGTGCTGAAAATAAATGTCGACTGGTATCTATTTTATGACTTGAGCTTTTTAAAGGTAGTGTGTGTGGTGAGGTCGGGGTTGGGGAGGAGGAAGCTTCAAGTCCTCAGAAAAGCCGGCTGGGTCCTGGGGACTGACCACGAGGGTGAGTGATGGCAGGCACGCGATGGCAGCGTGAGGCAGCTGGCCTGCAGCGGGGAGGCCGAAACAACCCGCAGCAGCTGCACAAACGCAAGAGGTCAGGCCGTGTTTGTGGACGCTGACTTCTCCCTAGGCACCCCTGGACGGTGGGATACATCAAAGCCCCACACCCAGGAATAACACCCAGGGGATGGATGGTCTGTGTATAAACCCCATCCCAAGATGCTGACCCAGGAGTTAGCTGCCAGCCCTCCGAGGGTGGAGTTACCTTCCTCCTGCACGTGCTATTTCTGGAAGTAGGTTGTGTGATGGAGGAGGAAATAACCCATATTCCAATAGTATTGAGAAGGTAAAATTCAAGTTAGTTTTCCTATGCTACGTGGCCACTTTCTTTTTCTGATGGAAGTGCCTTTTAACAGTCAACAGATTTTGGTGAAGCCCCTGCAATACACCAGCCACTGAGGCTAAGGGGTGACGACACAGATCCTCAGGTTGAGGTGAGTCAGGAAGGGTTTCCCTATGGGTTCCATATTATACCTCTTTTCTTATAACTATCATACTTGAGGTTGTGGAATATCTTTTTAGCCAAAGGCCTATTACGAGAAAAACTAATTTAAAAAAAAAAGATAGGAAAATATAGTCTCTAAGATCTAGGAGCTAAGATGACGATTATTTTTAATTGTTGCTTGTTGAAATGGTTGGAAATGTCTAAGAAAGACAGTTTTATATGGCAAGAGGAGGAGACCATGATACACTGAGGAAAACCAGGACAAAAGTTATAAGGGCCATTTTGAACAAGAGAATGTTCCAATTGTGTTTGTAAAGTGCTTGACAGTGCTTGACCCCCAAGATGGGACAGTGAGATTTCTGGACTGTTTTATATTGAAAGGAAGGCTCCAGTTTTTAAATGAGTTGGGCTCCAAAAGCTGACCCGGAAGTCTGTGTCGTGGAATGTAGACTGCTCTGCTGCATAAGAACATAAGGCATATTTAGGGCCGGGCGCGGTGGCTCATGCCTGTCATCCCAGCACTTTCGGAGGCTGAGGTGGGCGGATCATTTGAAGTCAGGAGTTCGAGACCAGCCTGGCCAACATAGCGAAACCCTGTCTCTACTAAAAATACAAAAGTTAGCTGGGTGTGGTGGTGCACGCCTGTAATTCCAGCTACGTGGGAGACTGAGGGAGGAGAATCGCTTGAACCAGGCAGGCGGAGATTGCAGTGAGCCGAGATCGCACCACTGCACTCCAGCCTGGGCAACAGAGTGAGACTCCACCTCAAAAAAAAGGATAAAGAATATAAGACATTTAGGGACCCCCACCTGTAGTCCCAGCTACTCAGGAAGGCTGAGGCAGAAGCATCACCTGAGGCCAGGAGCTCTGGGCTGTAAGTGCGGTTGGCCCATGGGGAGTCTGCCCTAAGTTCAGCATCATTATGGTGACCTCACTGGAGCAGGGACCACAGGCTGCCTAAGGAGGGGTGAACCAGCCCAGATGGGAAATGCAGCAGGTCAAAACTCTTGTGCTGATCTCCAGTGGGGCTGCAACTGTGAATAGGCACTGTGCTCCAGCCTGGGCAACATAGTGAGACCCTGTCTTTTAAAAACCAAATACATATATTAAAAACCAAATATATATATATATATAGTATTTTTACACTAACAAGAGCCCCTTGATGACCTTTGGAAATGCTTTCTGTCTCTACAATGGCCTCAAGGCCCCACACCCCACTCGTCACCTTGCACAGGCTGCCTTGTGACTGCTGCCCGGCGACTGTCCCCCAGCTTCAGCTGTCCCAGTCACACTGACTCACTGTGCCTTGATCTTGCAAAGCTGCTCCTGCCTCAGGACTTTGCACTGGTTCCCTCTGGCTGGAATGCCAGTCCCTGATCAATCTCCAAGTGGCTCACTGCTTCTCTCCCTCCAGGGAGGTCTTCTCTGACCACAGTCATCCCAACCCTCCACGCTCTGAGTCACCCACGGCTGCTTCATTTTTCTCCCTAACCCTTTCACTTTCTTAACTATTATGCCAAAGGCACTCATTTTATTTATTGTTGATCTCTCCCACCAGCAGGCAGAACCCCCATGGGCAGGAATTTTGTCCATGTTATTCCCTGCTCATTCTTGGTACCTAGAACAGTGCCCAACACAAAGTCAATGCCCAGGACATCTTTGTCAGATGAATGTGATGATTAAAAAGATACTTTAGTGACCACTTTGCAGCAGTGGCCTCAGACTTCAGAAGCCCAGCTGTGTGACTGTGAGCAAACGGCTCACCCCAAGTCTATTTACTCACCTGGGAAGCATGCTTTCTCCGTTCACCTCACAGCACTGCTGCCATGAGCAAACGCAGCCCTGCTTGTAAAGTGATTTGACACGTTCCCTCTCTAAGCCGTGGTTTTCATCTGTAAATTCAGAGTGCTGTATTAGCTATACTTTAAGATCATTTCGCCCTCTTACAGTCCACGGTAATGATGGAGACAAAAATCTGAGCCTCTTTCGTGTTGCCTGGTACTGGCTGTGATGACTCCTTACACCTGACGGCAGATGCGCTGCCCGCCACTTCCATCCGGAAGCCCCCAGCTCTTGTGCCTGATGGCAACATAATTCCGACCCATGTTGCCTGTCTTCCTTTGGGGGATCCCTGCTGCCCACCCAGAGCTTCCTGGGTATGCAGGACACTCCCTGCTACCCATCCAGAGCTTCCTGGGTATGCGGTGGGGTTAACTTTGGTGTCTCCTATCCTCATGTCTTCCTTCTGACCCGTTACGATGTGATCGAGGGACTTCTCAGATCCTCCCAAAGAAGGACCGAGGCATCCTCCCATCTACAGCTACTGTAAGGCTCTGCCACAGGTAGAGGCTGGGATGGATTTTGTGATGATGGATTCCCCAAGGGCTGGGGAACAGAACGCCTTGGAGTATCGTGGAGCCATCCAAATCTTCTTCCATAGACTCAAAGCAGAATAGTCCCTGTAAGCCTAAGCATGAATATACCCCTTTGAATCCCTCCTGCTTCATGGCTGAGCCATCCTCAGAAAGAAAGAAAGGCCTTCTTCCCCTGAGTTACCTGGAATGACCTTTACATGCCAGCCAGTTCGCTCTCTAACTTCTGGGTGTCTCTCAGTTTTCACGTCTGCAGTGCAGCTTTGGCATATATCGAAATTTAAATTTCTAAGATCTATTTTAAATTTCCTTTTTGTATGTTAGGCAGACTTTCCTTTATCCATCCTGAAATCACCTTTGAAATTTTAGACTAGGGCAGATGTCACTTAACGTGACCGGCAAGTATTCCACTCGCCATTTGTTGTGAGTGGTGGTTGTTTTTCCTTTTTGCTTTTTTTCTCTTTCTGTCTTTTTTTTTTAATCACCATCATACTATAAAACCAATTAAAATAAACTCTCCAAAGACTCTTATTTTCTGGCTGAGCTATTCCAACCTCTGACTTTTTCTGAAGCACAAGATAAGACTTTCTGATTAACTGGGAGTGGGATGTTTATTCAATCTGTTCATTTGATACATTGCGGAGACTGCTTTTTCATTTTTATGCCATGTCAGTGGCATATACTTTCTGAAATTAATAAATACAATACATACCATCAATGTGTGAAATTTTTAAAACCCCGTATTTCCATAGTTTGACATACAAAAATGTACTCATACACTTTTGAAATCTACTGTCAAATCATTTCACATCTGTACCTAAAGCAAACAGACATAATGCTAACAGCTTGTTAGAATTCAGAAATGCCACCCGCTAATCAGCCCACCTGTGGCATTCTCAGTCCATCTTGCAAGCTGCATAGCCTGCTGCCAAGAAGCTTGACAAGAAAATGTATATTAAATTATTGAATAAGATGGGAAATACTGTACAGTGTGGGATAAAGAGAATGTGCAACGTGTGGCCAATGAACATACTGTACCTTTTCATTATAATACCTGCCTGGAGGTGACCTAGCTTCATCCCCATGTGCCATAAATGATGAAGCTACTGCTAAGGCTCTGGATGCAAAGTCGGCAGTGAGGTTTTCATAGTTTGCATCAGCTTTTTGTTATGTGTAGTTGGCGTTGGCTAAAACAAAAACCAAGACAAAAAAAAAAAAAAAGCAGAAAGCAAATTTTGAACGGAGTTACACAGGAACAACCCCATTTTCTACAATTCTGTCCTGCGGTTCAGAGCAAAACAAAGAAGATCTGACATTCCTGACGTTCTCTAGAAATCACAGTAGCGACCATGTCAATCAACTCCAATCATTAGATATGATTTAAAAACCTAGAAACATGATCTTTTGATCTTGCCAGGGCAAAAAAGCAAAATAAAATGCAAAGGTGAAATAAAGTGATTAAGATCCTGGAGCAGAATGGGGCAGCGGATCATGGAACAAACCATGAGTACCCTCTGCCCATGCCTGGAAGCTTGTGAGGTCGGCCTAAGCGTGACATTGCACAATCCGATTACATTTCTACAATTATTAGTTTCTATAGAATATAAACTAACATGCTTACAGAAGTATCTTCTCTGGGGGTCTGTGGGTAAGAAATGTTATTTTAGCATCTGTTCTTTTAAGGCTATTTGCTCTGGGAGGGCAGTGTGTTTTGCCATAAATTTAGGTCATTAATTTGTATCTGTTCTTTGTTTATTTAAGAAACAGGACAAAAGGGCAGCTGCTGAAACATTTGGCTGTGCCGAGGGGTAGTGGGCTCGACATGCTGGAGTTCTGCACATGACCAGCTTGAGTTTGTATCCACAGCTACAGGACAGAACTTTATGGAAACACTTTGCCAAGCCATGTGGTGCTCGGCTTCCCTTTGCATCAATACCCTTTTAATTACCTGATCCTGAGGGGGAAAAAGTTAGGGAAAAGTGTCAGTGCAAAAGCCTAGGAACCTGCTGTGAATCAGACTTTTTCAAAAAGACAGCATGATAAAATATCTGGCAATTATTCTACAGGACATCGATCTAAATCCGCAACTAGCCTGCAAAGGTAACACTATGACCTATATAATTTGATATTTATAAACTGAAGCACAATAATATCCACTAAATTGATTGTTAACAACATTTAATGCTCTGAAATTGGCCATTAAGTTGCAGAATGATTTGAAAGGCATTATTGTTATTGTGAAGCATTGCAGAGGTTTTATTTATTATCATAAACCTAATGGACTCAGTAAATTAGGTGTATTTAAAAAGGTCATTTGCTGCTGTTGATACTGAATTCTAAGCACTTTAATTCAAATGGATAACAAAACATAGCAGTCTTTTCAAGGATGGTACACATTTAAGCTACTCCAAATAAACAATACGGAAGCACAGTGCCTGAAATTTGAATAATAGTAATAATAATGTGACAGTACCTGTTAGGATTGTTTTAAAAGCCATATTTGAAAATGATAAATTTTCTATTCGAAACTACATACTAGAAATAAAAGAAATAAAGTAAAATTTATCATAGGTGAATTTTAAACCAAAAAATGTTTGCCTAGAATGGTATTTCTTCTGGATGAAATATGATGCCCCCTTCGCATTTTTTTTTCCTAGAAGAGTCCTCAGTGTGAGAAGATGTGGTAATTTTTTTTTTTTTTTTTTTTTTAGACGGAGTCTGGCTCTGTCGCCCAGGCTGGAGTGCAGGGGCGCGATCTCTGCTCACTGCAAGCTCCGCCTCCCGGGTTCACGCCATTCTCCTGCCTCAGCCTCCCGAGTAGCTGGGACTACAGGAGCCCGCCACCACGCCCGGCTAATTTTTGTATTTTTAGTAGAGACAGGGTTTCACCGTGTTAGCTAGGATGGTCTCGTCTCCTGACCTCATGATCCGCCCGCCTCGGCCTCCCAAAGTGCTGGGATGACAGGCGTGAGCCACCGCGCCCGGCCGCGACGTGGTAACTTTGAAAATCTCAGCCATACGCCTGTCTCAGCCTGGGGGTCTATCCTCGCAAGCCACCTGCAGTGTTAATGGGTTTGTCCGAATGTAGGATGGAAATAAAGCACGTCTCTGGACAGAGATTTTGTTTTTTCTCTGTTGAATGTGTTTTCATGTGAGTAGAAATGATCTTGTGTTTTTCAGATGCTCTCTTTTGAAGAAGTCATAACTGAAAATGTGGTTGAAACTCAGGACTGCTCTTGCAGCGCAACGTCAGCAGCAGTCCCTTCCCTGGAACACTCTGGAAGTCTGAGGAACCTGCAGGCACCTGTGGTTGCTGGAGCTCTCTTCTCTGCGAGAGGCAGCAGGCAGTTCTCTGTGGAGGGACCCAGATGGTCTGCATTCAAGAATGTAAGAAAGGCCCTTAAGCAAGACCTGTCTTTTATTTTCTCTTGCACAGTCTTTGGATTCATCATTAGGGTCACAGACAAACCCCAGAAGTCTTGCTCTCAGAATAAATGTGAATTTCATTCAAAGAAAGAACGTGTTCTTTCCCATCATTGCATTGTTTTGTGCTCAGGTAGTGCAGAGGAAAATTTAGGAAGTATCAAACCACATGATTCCTGGGAATAGCTGAAAAGATCCTTTTCGACATTGGTGGGAAAAGAAAGAAAAACAAATCAATTAGATGTGAGATCTCATCAGATTTCTTATATTCTGAGACTGTGTTTAGAGAGGAAAGCATGGGAAAAAATGCTTCTTGAATATTCGCATAGCAGTAACTTGGTATTACACGTGTACTATCTTAAGTTCATCAACAAACATTTGGGTGGCTCCTAAAGCAGCTTATCTATACAGCACCTACTGCAGGTATAGAAATATGCTAGATATTGTAATAATTAATACTATCTGGAAAATACAATGATTTTTAAAAGTCTTATTGGGGAACTTTCATATACCAAGTTTAGTATACCTAGACTCATTCTGTAGGCTTAGAATAATTTAAAACTACCTTTTTTTTTGTTGTAAACCAAAGGAAACCTAATTGAAGTTATTCTAAAACAGGGAGTAATCCTCAGAATTTATCAGTCTTAGGGAAATTGATCAACATTTCACTACTGAGCTGGGCACAAAGCACTTTGCACTGGTCCCACCCTATCATTATGTTTCAATTCTGTTCATTTCTTGATGCCTTTCTTTTCATCTGACCCTTATCCTGACTCCTGTATTCTCCCAGACTGTCCCCTACTCCCCAAGGGTTTAGTGAATTTAAAAAGCACGCACACATAAAAAGAGACTGGATTCCCAATACCCTAGCATAGACAAAAGGAATCTATCTAGTTCTTTATTGGGCTCTCATCGGCTGTAACAAAACATTTCATATGTATGAAGAAAATATCATATTTCTAATAGATAGAGAAGATCTGAGCCTCTCTTCTACTACCTATACCTCTTCCATTCTCTAGTCTTGCTCACTTTTCAATTCTACCCCAATATCCCTTGACTGCTAAGTTCCTCCACTTTTCTCTGTGTCTTTTTCTCCCTCACCCAGTTCAGATGCTCTACATCTGATCATCTTCCCCAGGGTGGTTGTGGCCTTTCGGATGCAGTCTAGGTGTTAAAGGAATGATTATTCATTGTGATCTCCTCCTCCCCTTATAGAGGCTCTACTCCCTAGAGAAGAGTTTGGCAGCATTTTTCTCAAAGTGGATTAAAAAATGCATCACACTTTTAAAAAAAACCCACATGGCATCTCTCAGGAGACTTCTTCTGATGCAGGTTCCATTTCTGTCAAGAGAAGATGCAATGTTGTAGCAGAAAAAGCATTCAACTTGGACTCAGGAGAACACCCTTCCAATCCTGGCTCTGCTAATTATAATACTAACTGGGGATCTTGTACAAGTCACTTATCTCTCTTGAGGGTCCTAGGTCCCCAGTGTAAAACTAGAGGTTGAGACTAGCGACCATCCAAGGTCCTTCCAGCTCTGACAGTCTCTGAGTCTAGGAAATGAGACCCTGAGACTTTGAAAGGAGCCTTTCATCAAAACTAGGATTTGATGCCGGTGAGTAGAAAATTCAGGCTTCTAACCTCTTGGTATTTTACCTGCAAATCACAAATTTTACCCCATTTGCCAAGGTTTTGCTAGAAAGAACATCTAATAATCATTTAAAGTACAACTTCCCTTTAGAAATCGTTTTTTTTTTTTGAAAGTTTGAACCAACATTCTTCCTTTTCTGGCAATGCCTATATAGTGAGAGGCAATAGATTGAAAAAAAGGGTCAACCTTGTAATTTTGTCTGCGTTATTGGTGAATACTGCAAAGTATAAAGCTTATTCTGAGAAATCACTCTAAAAAAGAAATATTTTCTTTCTGATTCTATAGCTACAGTTAGATCAACCCATCATTCTTTCTACTTATCTATTATAGCCTTGTGTACATACATTTTATACTATTTTAGAAATAAAATTAAGAAACATCCTTTTCATCTTATCTCAATAAATATCCCATGTGAAGTATTTTGTGCTGTTAAGATTCTCACCATTGGGATGCATTTCAGATATACTTGAAAATCTGTAGAGGATCCAGAACTAAAGAATGAGCAAAACTGCTTGATATTTGCATGAGGAAAGGAGAGAAAAGAGGAGGGAGGGAGGGGGGAAGTAAGGAAAGGCAGTCGGGCGTGGTTGATTGCTCTTAGCCACATTTGTGCACATATGAACAAGATCTGTGGTCCCTGTGTCGGGACAGGCTTCATTAGTACCACTGAACTTAAAGACTGCGGAATCTTCAACAGTACGGGGAACTAAGGTGCTTTCCTAGCACACTCAATGTATTGTGCTTCGATTATGTGAAGTACCCTAGAGAGTCTTATAAAAATATCACCTGATGGCTAACGCTTTGGAAAGTACAAGTGTAATTGAGGCCAATGTTTTCCCCATTCCCAGTTCAGCACACAATAGCATACCTTCTTTGAGCAAAGCCCTCTCTGAGATGTGGGTGTAAGCCAAGCTGTCCCCAACACATAGGATGCCTGTGATTGTGTTCCTGAAACTCTCCCTTCTTGCATCTCTTAATCAGCTCATTTTTCTGAGCTCCCTGCCCAAATCAGGACCCAGCTCAAAGTGAGGCTGCTCACAGCAATGAATCTCACCTGCGTCCTGAACACCGTCTCACTGTAACCACGCTCCTGCCCTATCAACCCTTTCTTTGAATCTTGTGTTTTGGACTACATCCTAATAGTCTCTTCTGGATTTGGTCAGGGACGCTGTCAACCCTTACCCTCCTCCAGATGGGTTAAAGAAAATGTTGATATTTAGCAATAAATGAGAAAAACATTTGCAAAGACTTACCCTAGAAAGTCCAAATCTGTAAGTAAAATTAATCATGAATGAGACATTTCTTGGATCTTTTTAACCTCTGTCCACTTAAACCTATCCAAGGTACTAGGCTTCTGTTGGTGCTCATCATGTTATTACAAAGTGATTCAGGTACCAAAAAGGGTCAGGCTTGGTGTCAACCAATATTAAATCTTAACTTAGATATCACATGAGTGTTAAAGATACATACAAGAGGCCAACTTTCCAGCCCATGGTGATTCCCCAAGTTTATAACAGCCCAACATCTAAGTTTATGGATTTTATAACCAAGCAGATAAGTTACTGATGTAAAATTAAACTAACATTTATTAAAGACTTACTGTGTACTAGCCAATGAACTAAGCATTTTCTGCGCATTATCTCCCTGAGTTTTCTCAACTAACTTCTGTGGAATGCGTTATTAGTTCCACTTTAGTAAGCGACTTGCTCACGATGGTACAGCTACTGAAGCCACAGTGAGAAAACGGGCCCAGGCCCAATACCTAAAAGAGGATTGCTGTGCTAAACATTAAAATACTTAGTTCAGATTTCTTAAAGTAGGCAATCATGGAGTATAGATTTTGAAGCAAATCATCTGTAATGGGAGTATTTGCTCAGGACAGTGGGGGAAGACTAAATGACATGAAGGAGAGAGAAAGGCAGGGCAAGGTGATTCCCGCTTTCCAGGGCCCAGGACTGTTATGCAGAGGACAGTAACAGACTATTCTTCAACATTCCCAGGGAGGGAAATAAATGGATGTCTTCTGGAATAGGAAGGATTCAGTTTAAATACATAAAATATTTTCCCATATAGGTAGTTGTGAGACACAGGAATGTGTCTTCAAGGAAAATGACAGAATCTGTTTCGCTGGAGCCCTTTAACACATAGGATAGATTTTCCTTTCAACAGAAGTGAAGACCCACAGGGAGGATGCAGAATTCCTTCCCTCTAGGATTCTGTAACCATTACAATTCTAAATAGTCTTCTGGCATTACATTCTTCTAGCAATAAGTCATTTGAGACCATGACAGCCAAATATTTGCAGACTCAGAAAGAAGACTGGGAGTTGAAACTGGGTGAGATGCCATCATTTTTAACCTCAAGATTACAGTTTAGATGAGAAATGAGTACTGGAAGGAAGGGCATGAATCAAGGAAGAGGATTGTATCCTAATTTAGTATTTGTTAATTAAATACAATTAGAACAGTCTTTTTCCTATTCCGGAGGTACAAGACTCTGTCCTGTAAAGCCATTGAAAAGAGAAAAAAAAAATGACCCTTTTTTCTGTAGCTCCTATAGAGAATGCAATTTTTTTAAATTTTATTTATTTATTTTATTTTTTAGATGAAGTCTAGCTTTGTCGCCCAGGCTGGCGTGCAGTGGCACAATCTCAGTTCACTGCAACCTCTGCCTCCCAGGTTCAAGAGAGTCTCCTGCCTCAGCCTCCTGAGTAGCTGGGATTACAGGCACCTGCCACTACACCCAGCTAATTTTTGTATTTTTAGTAGAGGCGGGGTTTCACCGTGTTGGCCAGGCTGGTCTCGAACTCCTGACCTCAGTTGATCTACCCACCTTGGCCTCCCAAAGTGTTGGGATTACAGGCGTGAGCCTGCGTCTGGCTGGAAGCAAATTTTTAAATCATTCACAAGCCCTTAAAGTTGTAGTTCGCTTCTATTTTAAGCCATAAAGAAATGAAATAATAATTTTTGGAAACAAGGTTTTAAATCTTTACTTCTTAAAGTAACCATTAATCAAAGAAGAAATCTCTATGCATGCAGCAGTTGAATGAGGAATTCAAGGTCTATTTTAATTAGTGATTCATCATAGGTCCGCATTCTTTGGGAGAGACAGGGTCTTGGGGAGATCATATCAGTGATAAATCAGTCTGTGGGAAGTAAGAATTTTGATAAAATTTGGAACTCTGATCCAGGGAGCTGTTTTTGGTGATTTCTTAAGGCTCTGATGGCATGCTGTCACCAGATGCATCATTATTTTGAAACTAAAAAAAAATGTGAGAAGGCCTGGGAAAATCTTGTGGGCTGGAAATTGCTTGTGGACGAGTAGGGCTAGCTTGTAAAACTCATTTGCTGGAAAAGATTATTATTGTCTTTCTTCTTTACTTTCAATCATTGAAAAATATTATTCTCTATGTGCCATTAAGTGCCAGTCTGTTTTTTTTAAAGAAACAATAGCAACAATTTCCAAACACTCAAAACATACTTCAACATGCTATTTTAAGAGAAATATACATGAGCAATGGTTTTGAGCAAACCCATTTTTAATCCAGATTAGACATTCGGCAGCAAGTTAAGAACGTTTGCTTTGATTGCCTTACTCAACTCTCCATCACGCCCCTGAGACTCTCTTCAGCAGTTCTGATGTAGTGTACGCTTTCCATTGTTTTCTTTATTGATTTAATCTTATAATTTGAGGTTTGAGACTGATTATCCAGCTTTTTATACAGCAGTACTATTTTTCTTTCTCTGTTTAACACATCGCAGAGAACTGAGTGTCAGGTTTCTATCTCATATGTTCTACAATTCTGTGTTCTGGTGTGATGCCGGCAAAACTGGTATAATTCGAGACAAATAGTGATCTTTCCAAGTTTCATAAAATAAATGCTTATAATTTATAGGAATTAGAAATGCAAATATTGAAATGCTTTAGAATAGCACATGGTTACATTTTAACAATTTCAAAGACAGGCAGAATTAGAGATACTGACCTGACCTCCTTCCAAATTACAGCTACCATTCTAGACTGAACAAGAATAAGCAGAATGACTTCTCTCAGAAGAACGGAGAGAGAGAAAACACTCATCACCCTGTCACGGTGTCGGTTTCTAGCTTAGAAAGGTGAACACAGTGCTCCAGGGCCATGCACACTTGTCCACATGTCCTTTCGGTATTGGAAAATAAGGCAGCATTTAGGTGGGTATAAGCATCATTCTGTCAGTTGTTGAAGTCTCCACTGTTGATGCCAATTGTGTTTTCCCAAATGTCTTAAAAATCTGTTTGAATAAAAATGTCAAACCCTCATATGATTTCTAAAGTTGTAGGGGGCATTTGAGGTGAGCTGCATAGTTGGAAACAACATCTTAATGATCTCTCCATCTCCTACAATGCCCAGCACAGTGTTTTGCTCAATAATTCTGTTTAACATTGGAATAAATGAATGGGTCTAGTGTAACTGATACCCTGATGCAGGCAGCCCTTCTCTGCATTCCTGAATATCTCACTAGTCAACCTGAGCCTATTACAGCTTACCACGAGTGGTTCCAAAGCTCCCCCTGATGTTGAGCCAAAGTTGGTCTGGCTGTAATTTCCACCGATGAATCCCGGTCTCTATGTTGGAGGGAGTAGTCTATTCCCTTTACTACAGGATAATCCTGCTAATATATTAAGAAAGTTATCACATCTTCCCTTAGGCGTCCCCAGAATAATATTTCCCAATCCCTCCAGCACTGCTTGTAAGAAAGAGGAAACGGCTAGGTGAGGGCTCAGTAAACTTGCATTTGGGTCCTATTGCTGCGAATGATCTATGTGACCTTTGGTGGGCCACTTAATTGCTCTGGTCATTTATAGATTCATGTATAAGATGGCATTTTTACACTTGTCTGTTTACCTGGTAGTATTGTTTTGGGGAATCAAACCCTCTGAAAATTGTCAGATGTTATGAAAACGTAAGATATTTTTATCACTATGAGACGTAGTTTCTAGCCACTTCACCAATCTAGCACCCTTCCCATGGCTGTGCCCATAGTTTGCCATTGTATTCCTTAAAATGTGGGGATCAGAATTAAATTAACTCACTGTTCATCCATTATTGGCCTTTTACAGTAGAAACAAAAGGAGGAGAAAGGAAGAAGTGAACTCACATTATTTAAAACTTACCCTGTGCCGGACCCTTAATTCTTTATTTATTTTATTCCTCATACTAACCCTTGAAGACTTGTGTAGTATAGGTAAGTAAAGAAAACCATAGAAATTGTAAGTAATTTGCTCATGTCACCAAGGTCAACTTGACTCGTGTTCTCTCCACTCTAACATGTTTGCCACAATTTTTATTATTCCCATAATTAGGACACTCTACTTCTATGATTGGAACAGTCAGCAATGACAACATTTTCCTTTGGCTAGAGCATAATGCTGACTTGTATTAATCTTGAAGTAGGCTCAAAGCTTTATGTTTTCATTTTTATTTTGTTTCACATATATTTCTATTAATATTTACCCTGTACTTGTACAACAGGTTTGGGGGCCTAAATTCCAGCCTTTTTAGAGATCCTTTCTAAACTTGGTGTGATCTCACATTATTCACAATCTGTGTTTAATAATTCTTTTTTTTTTTTTTTTTTTTTTTTTTTTTGAGACTGAGTCTTGCTCTGTCACCCAGGCTGGAGTGCAGTGGCACGAACTTGGCTCACTGCAACCTCCGCCTCCTGGGTTCAACCAATCCTCCCACCTCAGCCTCCCTGGTAGCTGGGATTACAGGCACCTGCCACCACGTCTAGGCTAATTTTTGTATTTTCATTAGAAACAGGGTCTCACTGTTTTGGCCAGGCTGGTCCAGAACTCCTGGCCCCAAGTGATCCACCCGCCTGGGCCTCCCAAAGTGCTGGGATTACAGGCGTGAGCCACTGCACCCAACCTCAACTTGATCTTTAACTGTCTGTCAAGGGTATGAGTTCAACCATTTCAAATGTGAAGACCATTCTCCCTCTAGGAAAAACTAGAAGCAAAGTGGAAGTTAAGTAGCTCCACTTGTTTCATCCCTAAGAAAGAAGACTATCTTTCCTTTGTTCCTCACCTCCCTCTGTGAACGTGGCCCAGTAAGTCATCCCATGTCTGAGCCTCCTATGGTTAGTAGGCAGAATAATCGCCCACACAATTCTCAGGTCCTAATCCCTGGGACCTGTAAATGTTGCTTCACATGGAAAAAGGGACTCGGCACGTGTGATTAAGTTAAGAATCTTGAGATGGGGAGATTGTCCTGGTGGGGCCTAAATATAATCACAAGTGTTCTTCTAAGAGGGAGGTAGAGAGAGATTTGATACAGATGGAAGAGGAGGAGGTGAAGTGACCACGGTGGCAGATTGGGACCATGCAGCCATAAGACAATGGATGGTGGTAGCCACTCAAAACCAGGAGAGGCAAAGGACAGGTTCACCCCTATAGCCTGTGGAGGGAATGTGGCTGGTGTCGACACCTTGATTTCAACCCAGTCATACTTATTTTTGGACTTCTGACCTCCAGAACTCTGAGCAAATAAGTTCAGTTGTTTTAAGCCACCAGATGGTAGGGGGGTAGTTTGTTACAGCAGCCACAGGAAACTAATACACTCTCTTGTGTTATTCTTTGATGTTCCTAAAACTCTTGTAATCTCCTTGGGTTGTATGCTCCTCCTTCCTTTTAATCTATATACATATTATTTACGTTTCCATAAAACACATTCCACATATTTTCTTATAATATCTGAGCTTACCAGACTGACATCCGTACTTCACACTGGTCTTTTGAAATGTTGTCACTTAGAGGTCAGAAAACATAAAATATTGTTTGGACAGATATATAACGATTTTCGAATGTCTTCCTTTTTGGGTTTTCAAATATTGATGATACAAGAATGCTTACCAGCTACTGGTTATTATTTGTTTGGTAAATTAAAAAGTTTTTTGTGCTAGAAGTTCTGCAGATGCCAGTAGATCCAGTGAGCTAATAGCCCAGGGGAGATGCCTTTCTGGGAGGGGAGAGACCCAGGGAGAGCCTCCCCTCCCCCCAGCATCCTGGGTAGCTCTGAGGAATCTCACCTAAATCTGCTGTCTTTTACAAAAACTGGACAATCTAATGTCTCTTTTGAATAACCCAATTGGAACTGGGTAGTTACCCTCAGTGTGTCCCAGAGTAACAGCAATGGAATTCATGTTTACTAATCTGTCTTTTCCTGTTCCTGTATTTCTTTGGCCACATGTCTAATGTTCAAAATAATCAAATCTTAAGAAAAGTTACTGCATTTTAGAAGAGTCTGAAACAGGTCCTGTATAATTTCTGTGTCTGCTCTGCATAAAAAGTATCCTACATTGAAACTATTAAGAAAAGCAGCCATACCAAAGAATCATTTATTGCTCTCAAGCTTATTGAATTTTTGCTCTGGAACCATTAGGGCTGTTATCTGTTATCTAGGTGTGAGGAAGGGGATTTGGGTGGGAAAGGAGAGGGGAGTCGCTGAATGGAAAGTGAGTGAGGAGGAAAGAGATAAAGGATGCTGAGGAGAAAGGCAGCAGGTTTGACCGAGATTCCCAGCTGCCCAGTCTCTGAATATCAGAACTTATTTACATGCTGTCGGGAGAGGGGCAGAGAGCAGAACTTTCCAAAGCATGAAGTTCAAGAGTCCGAATATCTGATTCTACTCCTTTTCAAAACTGTGTCACCAAATCCTGTTCAGTTCCTAAAGCCCCACCCTCGGATTCCCATGTGCCTGTCTTCAAACATGGTACGTCTTCTTTCTCCAGTGAGATGAAACTAATGTATTCTGCCACATGCTTCAGAAATACTTAACCTTGTTATTTGATAGCCATGTGTTTTCGTGCGGAGGTAGGAGGAGCTGTTTCGACTCTTTTTCACTGTGAAAGAGATGGACTGTTTGAACCGAGAGGGTCCCCCCGGCAGTTGGGAATGGCAGTTGTAAAGTAACAAATGCGCGGTGGCCCAGCAGGACCCAGGGGGTGCTCAGACACCTCCCAGAGACCGTAACCCACTAACGGTGCCAGTGCCCATTTCACTTTTCTATTTCTGTCCTTCCAGGATTCTTGACAAGTGACATCTAACCTATTCACAGACAATTTTTAAAGCAAAATAATAGTGAAATCAATGAGTAGGTTTTTTAAAATTTTTTTGGCTCGTCTGTTTCTCTTGTGTTCTTGAAGGTCGACATTCTCATTATTGCATCTTGATATCTTATCTGAGGTTTCAATCACTGTCCAGCTCTTGTATTCTGTGATGCACGTGGATTTCTTTATTAAGCACCCACTGAGTGGAGGGTGAGATATTTAGCCCTGTGGCAAGCACAGCATGGGAACCTTGATCATAGAGAGAGGGACAAAATGCCCTACCCCTGTGGATGACAAGAACTCTCCCATGGCAACGTACACCCCCAGGATACTTGACAGCAGACAAGGATTAGATCAGTGCTGAAACTGCAGAGCAAGGGGGCTGTCAACACTGAAGGTCTTCATCAGAGACGCCATTTAGGAGCAGAATGGGAGGCGAGGGAGCTGCACTTCTGTGCAGGGCTAGGAAGAGGGAGAGGCAAAGGAAGCATTTGCATCTGGTGCCGAATTTAAAACGGTGCCAAAAAACTCAGGAGTCATATTAGGCATATTTGAACACAAGAGTTTTGAAAATCACAACTAATACAAAAAATCAATAATGAGCAACATGTCAAAATGTTGAAGAAAGACAGGGTTGATATTACTGGTTTTTCCCTTTCTTTCTCAGGTTCTGTCATGGCTCCACATGGAGCCTGTAAGTGAGGAGGGAGAGGAGATGGAGGAAAGGAGGCTAGTGCATTAGAGATAGTTACCAAGGT
Organism: Homo sapiens; assembly: GCF_000001405.40. NCBI lineage: Eukaryota > Metazoa > Chordata > Mammalia > Primates > Hominidae > Homo > Homo sapiens. Next base: position 244,119,418 of record NC_000001.11, read on the forward strand.
ACTGATAGAAGAATGAAAAACTCACATAATTCTGTTAGGCAGAGAAGCTTGGCTAGGATAGAGATCCAGGTAAGGGGATGTTAAAAGATAAAAGGTGAGCTGAGTGTGGTGGCTCACGCCTGTAATCCCAGCACTTTTGGAGGCTGAGGCGGGCGGATCTTGAGGTCAGGAGTTTGAAACCATCCTCGGCAACATGGTGAAACCCTGTCTCTACTAGAAATACAAAAATTAGCTTGGCATGTTGGTGGGCACCTGTAATCCCAGCTACTCGGGAGGCTGAGGCAGGAGAATCGCTTGAACCTGGGAGGCAGAGGTTGCATCGCACCACTGCACTCCAGCCTGGAAGACAGAGCAAGACTCCATCTCAAAAAAAAAAAAAAAAAGAAAGAAAAGAAAAGATAAAAGGTGAAATGGAGAAAGAGATGTGGAAGTCATTAAGAGTGGGATGAGCAGTCATAACCTGAGTCTCAACCTACGAGAACTGATAGGCAAGATTTGTCACAGTGAATTACCAAAAACAGTGGGGAGTATCCCAAAAGGACAACTGCAGCAACAGCGTGTAGGAAGGGTTGAAGGGTAGGGAATGGAAAATAAACATTTCCAAAAGCAGTTATAGACAAAAAGAATGTGCAGAACCCAATCATTTCGATATGGTGATAAAAGAGAAAAAAGGAAGCAAAAAATGTTAGACATCTGCCCACCTTCTGGGTGGAGATGAGTCTCCACTACCCACGAGATCTTGGCAGTAACTGAAGTGAATGAAGGGCGTGGAATAGCACTGAAGGAAGAAGCGGGAGAGCCACATTTGGGGCTCTTGTGTGTACAGGGGAGATTTGACCCCAGTTGAGGCAAAGAGCTCAAGAGTAGGGGCTCAGAAATAACGGACAAGAGGTCAAGAATTGGTTTGCACACTCAGTGTTTCCTAAGAGGGTAGCGCTGTTTATGTTTTGGCATAACATGTGTTTGTCATATGGAACTGTTCCATATATCCCACAGGACAATTTAAGTTTTTGCTCCTATCCCCTTTCCCCACCTCCTCCACCCATTAAATGTCAGCAGTACCCTCCAATCACTGGGACAACTGGAAAAGGCCCCACACATATCTAAACAGAATATGTTTTCTGACCCTCCAACCCCGGCCCGTTGAGAACTCCTCTGGGGAGGAAAAGCATCTGCATTCAGGGAAGAATTGTCCAAGAGATACCAAGATATAATAGCGTCACAGAAAGTCCAAAGGCAAAAAGGTTCCCAAAGGGAGGGTAGTCAGTGGTGTCAAATGGAACAGAAAGATCAATAAGGACACCCTGAGAAAACAGAAGACAATTGGGGAGGTGTTTCTCATAACACCTTTGGTTATTCCAAAATGTCTGTGTGTTGTCCTATGTGGTCAGTGATACGACAGCTGTATTTTTTCAGGGAAGGCTCAATTTTTATGTTTTTTGATTATACTCCTGTTCACACAGTTATACAATCTGAGGATCTACTCTAGTAAAAATGCCATTTTATATTTAATCTATGTATTATTTGTGTATATGTTTGTATATGTGCATGTAATATGGGCTAATTCATGGAAGAGTGTAGCTTGATAAGCAAAAATGTTTTCTCATTGTTGATATGAATCCATTAATGCCATCTGTGAAGCTATCTGTAGGATGATGACATGCAAATTTTCCTTTTACTTTTTTCTAAATGTAAAGAATATTTTTGTGGGTGTGTAGAAATAAAAGGGCAACACGATCATGTAGAAATGAATCTGCCCAAATATAAATGGTAAGTTTGTAATTAAAATTACAAAATTAAAAAAGCCTAATCCTGGCTTCTTCCTTATCAGTCAAGATCCTTCAAAGTTGTTTGAGCGCTTCACCTGCATTTCTTTGTATCTGTAGTTAGTCCTTGAACTTGCAGAAAGGTTTTGCTATGGTTTCCTCTTTTGGAGTATTTTCTCTTGCAAGTGAAATGGAGAAGGTAATTTTTATGTAGTATTTTTCATTCAGTTTAGTCTAGTCTTGCAGTTGGACACTTCATTTGGCATATGGTCTTTGGAATGATCACGGTTGTCCATTTCCACTGAGTTCTGTTGGTTGTACTGAATCAAATTAGATAAAAATTTGTGAGTTTCTACTTAGCGTTCTATGAACGTTTTTTCTAAATTGTTGGTTTTGGAGGATTGCATTACTCTAGTTCTAGCTACCATGTTCTCTCCAGATTGCAAAACAGACTATGGAATAACATTTTTAAACATAAAATACAACCCTTAAAGTTTCTTAATTCCTCTTTCTGAATCTCATATTGTCAACAGAGGTCTTTTTTCCCTCTTATAATGTTCAAAATGATCTGCCCTTTTATGAATGCCTTGAGACTATCACACAAAGCTAACGGTGAGGGAGCAGATGCCTCATTCAATTCCAAATAGAAGGAAATCTGTTGTCTCAAATAATCCCTAAATTCAGACACTTTCAGACAGCTATTATCAAGAGACCACATTCTAAGAGCAGATGTGTTATTAAGGCTGAGAAATGTTATGAGGACTTCGTGATCTGACAAATGATTTCAATCTATCCAACATTCCAACATTTCATCTTTTAATAAATTAGAGATTAAAATATCCATTTTGGGGAGGCAATTTGTATAAGGTAGTTGGAAACTGGAGTTGTAACTGATACTTCATTTCCATGCAAAACTGCCTAAATTATACTTACAGGTCCTTTTTATATATAAAGTATGCTCATTTGACTGAAGCAATTATGATGTATTTTAATCTCTGTATGGAGTCCTATAGCTCCTTCTCACAGATATGAAACACAACTCCTGTTTTTCAGTGAGGAATAAGAAACAAACACAACCAGGCATTAGCTGCCCCACCTAAATGTGCTCAATCATTCCTTTATATCTTTCAGTTTACCTTTACGTGATTATTTAGAGCCTTTTCGGTGAAGCAATTACTGAAAAATTCTGCTGAGGGCTAACACTCTTCTTTTCTTGTTGGAGTGTGGTTATCTGCTACTAAACCTCTTTTTTTTTGTTAAAGGTGCAATAGAGCTCTTACATTCTTTGCATAATAGAATCTTCTTCTGGGTTGAAGTGAATGTTTTCACCGGCCCTATTCAGAATCACAAATTGTCCCATCCAATAACAAAGTGTACATTCCTCAGCACTTGCAAACTGCTTATTACCCATGGGTTGTACTTTGATCTCCCAAGAATACCTGTGGTGCTATAGGATTTTTACATAATCCTATCATTGCCAAAGAGAATAAAACTTAGATCCAGGTGAACATCAGTTACTATAAATAACACGAAAAGCAACAAAGCCACCCAAATTCTCTTCGGCAGGGTTGCCCCCAGCTGTGCATATATTGGAATTTATGTTCTACCTGACCTTATGAAAAGTAGCTAACAAAATGTCCTTGAGCAGTTTTCTTTAATCATCTGGAGTTGATCTCCTGGCTCAACATCGGTAGATGCTTCCTTGGTGTGAAATTTGGGGGCTGAAATAAATCATCGAATAATTTTCCTTATGACTGATAATTTTTTTTATCTTTAACCTTAAGAATCAGAATTTGACAGCTAGATTTCAGGGGAAATGGCATTTATGTTAAATTTTTAAAAATATGTTAAATTGTCAAAATCCTAAATATGGAAATGTAGCAAAACAAAAGAGAATGGAGCCTTGTGGTTGGGCTGAGGGACAACTGCTTATCAGCAGTCCGAGGGTCCACAGCAAACAGCACACTTGGCTCCCATGAGCATGCCGCCGGCAGGGAGCAATGTTACCCTCCCCGATGTTCCCACTCTCCAAACACTTCTGATTGTTTTTTTTTTAACCCATAACAAATTTAAGCTTTATGAATATCACCATCCCAAACTTGTTCACTTACTGATTCATTCAACAATGATTTAGCTCCTACTGTGTGCAACATGAAATCAACTGAAAAGTCTTCAGAAGGCAGATATTCAAAGAAACTTGCTACAGAGCACAGAAGTTGTATAATAGTGATCCGATTGAAGCAGAATGTTGTGTATAAGGAGTTGAAAGAACACTAAAATTGGTGGCAACCTTGCCACTTGCAAGCTTCGTGATTTAAGGTATGTTGCTAAGGCTTTTGTGCATCAGATTTCTCGCCCCTCTAAAGTGGCCATTGCTAAGTAAGTACCTACTATCTATAATCACGATTTTGGGCACTCTGTGGAACTTATTTTAACTTCCAGCAGTAATGAGATCAGATGTATCGGTAATTGCGATACAAAGAAGAAAAAAGAGATGAGGTCAGTAAGAGAGGCATAGGTTGCTACTGAAGTCCAGGGAAGCAGGTGGCTATTTGCATTTGGGGATGAATGTTGGGAAGGAAAATAAATTTGATTTGAGTCTTAAAGAGTGGGCAGACACTAGGTGTGGTGGCTCATGCCTGTAATCCCAGCACTTTGGGAGGCTGAAGTGGGAGGATTGCTTGAGCACAGGAGGTCAAGGCTGCAGTGAGCTGTGATTGCACCACTGCACTGCAGCCTGGGCAACAGAACAAGACCCTGTCAAAAAAAAAAAAAAAAAGAGTGGGCAGCATTTGGATGCAAAGAAATAGGTAAAATTTTACCCCAGGGAGAGCGAGCAAGATGGAAAGCACATAGAGGTGAGATGAAGCCCACATTTTTATGTGAAACTCCAAGCATTTTGGCAGTGTTAAGTTCTATTTTTTTTCCGTTTTGTTATTGCTTGCTTGCTAGTTTATTTTTGTGAGGAATTCTCTTGGTCTCATTTCTAGGTTCAAGGGAATTCATGCAAGAAAAGATTGCAAAGGTGTGTCAGGCGAGAGGTAGGAAAATAATGGCATAGTGTTTGGGATAAGATGAGGGACACAGGGGCCAAGGGGAGGCAGAGACCTCATTAAGGAAGAAGTTGAGGCCAAGCCAAGACGAGTAGATGCAGAGGAACAGGCAGAGCTCAGGGCAGCGGAGATAGTCCACACCTAATGCACCCATAGTTCTCTATGACAGGTTGGCTCCTGTTGAGTCAAAGGAGCCAGGAGGTGGAGGCTGAGAAGATTTAGAAGCTCTGATGAAGTGGATGGAGAACAGAACCAACTGTGGTTATGTAGAAGTGTGGGGCAGCCCTGAGGGTCAGCTGACATCAGGAATCATGTGTTGGTGATGGAGGAGCCAGATAGGATGGTAATTTCCTATGAAATCTGAGTGGGAGAAGATCAGAAGGGAACACTAAAGATAGAGACAGAAGGCAGAAACTTGATGGAGCCAGGTCATGGAGCAGGCAGGAGGAGATGGGAGCAAAGGTAAAATGCGGTAAGTAGAAAGATGGGGCCCAGTGCTGGGGTGGAGAGAGCTCTTGGAGAACTGGGTGCATATTATTTTCTCTGAATAGGAGGGAGGAAGAATTTTCAGGAAATCATTTCTCTCCGGGGGTTAGTGTATTGGGAATTTAATTGTGCCTGGCCCAATTTAAAAAGCTGAATAAGTAAATTTTCAAAGATATCCTAAAACTCAATAGAAAAGAGGTATGCAAATAAACCTTTGGGTTCTATTATGTAAATACATTAAAACTCAATAGAAAAGAGGTATGCAAATAAACCTTTGGGTTCTATTATGTAAATACATCTTTAATGTAGCCAGCACTTGGAAAACAGTCTAACTCAAGGAAGATAGATAGATTTAAACTAATAAACCAACTCCTGCTTGGTGGTGGCTGCTTGGAGTACTGTACTGAAAATTTGGGGGATCAACAGGAAATGGTGTTGTGGTCAACTTGTGACAGCTAGTAAGGTTGCAGAAGAGGAGAGTGGGGTACGTTTACCACATACTCACCATTCATGAAGGTAGACAGAATATGCAAGGTAGTTTACCTATCAATTAAATACAATAGTTAACTATATCCTTACAGATTGCAAGTATGTTTTACCTGTAAAGTCCTTTGATCTCTTGCTTAGAAGATGACACATCTTTACAAATTATAAAAATATGAGCAATACATTTTGTCAAATGAGTGTTTATCTTTTACCTGAGCTAAAATTACTATCAGGAGAATTGTTTGGTTAAAGTGAACTATGTCCATGGAAACATGATTCTAAAATCTTTCAACTGCTGAAAGTTTCAAAGACCCTTGCACTTTACAGGCTGACAAAAATAAAAAGATATGCAATGGTTATTTTATAATTTCAGGGAAAAGAAGAAAATTCATGTTTACTGAGACCTGTTTTAGGTCCTTCATATGTGTTCTCATTTAGTCCTCAGGGCAACTCTGTGAGATGGAAACTGAGTGAAGCTGAAGGAGGTGGAAATTTGCTCCAGGGAAACAGCTCTCACGCGACAAAGGCGGAAGGCAAACCTAGGTCTCGCTGACTCCAAGTCTGTGTTCTTTCCATCACTAGGGAAGAAGAGGCACATGAATGACTGAAACTAAAAACAAACGTTAAAACGCTATCAATTTTGCACATAATAGAAGGGAGAAATTATGATCACTACAATGCTGGGAATGTACATCTTAACATATTGCTCCTAATTTCTTATCAGCAGATTTTAAAAATGCATCTATCTAGGTTTGCTTTAAAAATAGATCAGTTAGAAGGCAAAATTGTACGAGTGGATATTATTAATGATACTGAATTTCCATGTATGTGAACTAGCATTGAGTGGCACTTTGATAACACTCATCTAATCCTATTTAGTGCCCTTTCTCTCTTTTGCTGTCAAAGCCTAGGTACGGGTTCGTGCTTTGTCTCATAACCTCTTGGTTAAAATGTAACATCTGGGCCGGGCGTGGTGGCTCACGCCTGTAATCCCAACACTTTGGGAGGCTGAGGTGGGCAGATCAAGAGGTCAAGAGATGGAGAACCTTGTCTCTTGACATGGTAAAACCCCCTCGCTACTAAAAATACAAAAATTAGCCAGGTGTGGTGGCAGGCGCCTGTAATCCCAGCTACTCAGGAGGCTGAGGTAGGAGAATCGCTTGAACCCGGGAGGTGGAGGTTGCAGGGAGCCGAGATCACGCCACTGCACTGCAGCCTGGCAACAGTGCGAGACTCCGTCAAAAAAAAAAAAAAAGTGACATCTGTACAAGAAAGGTAGGACCACATAGCCAGCTGAACACTGATGCAGGTATGGATGAAGTAAGGAAAAAGAAAGAAGTAAAGTTGGTCTTCTGGAAGTCCAAAGGCAATGCCAGCTTGTAATTCTGCACAGGGTGTTACTGGGGTTCAAATATAAATAGTTTTTCTAACTCAGAAACAAATCTAACATATTAAGTGTTTCATTGAAGGCCCCAATTATGTCTAGAGTTTTGCAGAGTTTATTTTAAAATGTATCTCGAAAAGCTGGTGGTCCAAATTTTTCCCTAGACTTACACATGATGAGAATCTGTCTCTTTATATTTAGCTGCAGGGCACCTAACAAGTTCTTAGGCGAAACACATTATTTTGCTAGTACAAGAAGAATAAATACTGTATTTGGAAAGTTCCAGTGTTCTTTAAAATATCGCTGTTTCCATAGCAATAACATAATGTACTAAAGAGTAGAATGGTGTTTCTTTAGAAACCACGTGTATGGATGCATGTTCCCATGAAGGGCTTTGAAGCATCTCACCTGCTCGTGGTCCCAAAATGGAACAACAATAGTAATCGAATCAATCATCTTATGAAATGAAACTCGGCCAGCTTTCTACTGCCTAACGCTGTCAGCCTTCTGCTTTTGGTCATCTGTGTAGTGTCTTTTTAGGCTCTGTGCTCTTAGATGGTGGAAAATAGATCCATGTTCATTCATTAGTTCATTTGGTCAACAGATATGTATTAAACACCTATTATATGCCAGGCACGGTTCTAGGCACTGAGGACTCAGTGACATTATGGAGTTTACATTCTAATGGGGAAAACAAGAAAATTCTTTTTTAACAACAAGGAATGTCACATCATGTGCCACTGTGCATATGGAAGTGCTCCTTGGTGATGTCAGTGACACTTTAAATACTTAGCAAGAATGCATGTTGCAATAACATATGAAAGATGCAGGGAATAATGGAAAAGGAGAGTGCTAAGAATGATGATAACTGATGAGTTGATTCCCAGGGTGCTCTGCCAGAGATTCTGATCTAGGATCAACCTCACTACATTAAGGATAGCAAAGAGTGTCTTAAGGGGTTTGGACAATTAAGGTATTACAAATAAATATAAAGGAATGAGTTCCGTGTGGGTGAACGCTGTTCTGGAAAATGGGGTATATCTCTTAGGATGCAACTTTGATCTTGAAAACTCATATTAAGTTGGAAAGATTCTTTGAATGTTTACCTCCTCTGTTGACTTGGAGTTGAGTGCCTTAGCCTTCCCGTAATCCTCCAAATTTGTTTTGTGTGCTGACTTTGCCCTAATGAGGCCCACCTTCCTCTGTATCCCCAGCTCTGACTCCCAAAAGCCTTCCTGCAGGGAGTGAATAGGTGGCGAGGATGTCACTGAAAAGGTCGCTTCTCTGGTTAACTGCTGGCCATCTAGCATCTGGCAAGGGGGTTGCAGGTCACAGATGTCTCATGCTGGCGCCGTCACTATTCCAAGAGAGAACAGTAGAAGGATCAGTGTCCCCACCCCCTCCCGGAGGCCACACATCTTTGTCTCCTACACAAGACTTCATTTGTGCTTTCAGTAGCAAAACCTTGAAATATTTAGTCTTAAGAAACCCACATCTATTTGCTATGTGCAGGGTCCTTTTGTGTGGCAGCCTCACTAGTGCCCTGATCATAAGTGAGCAGCCACCTCTTGACTCTCCCGGACTCTGAAAGATTTGACTCACTGTCCACATCGCTCCAAAAGGCTCCTGGTTTGCAGACACTTCTCAAGCCACCCTGGGAGCAGAAAAAGGTTCATGGGCCAGATCCAGGGTCACCGAGTCAGAGAGGTTCTCAGGGCAGTCATCCTTTCTTCAGAATCAGACAAGTCAACCAGCTACCCCAGCTGCCTTCCTAGACTCTCAGTGAGCAGCAAGGTCACAAAAAAAGAAAAAATGCCGAAAGGTAAGCATGGATTTTCAAGGCAAGAACTTCAAAGCCTTGCTTTTGCCCCCAGCAGAGCCAGAGGTCTCAGAGTGAAGGGAAAGTCTCACTCTCTCAAGGTGAATTTTGGGTTGCCAACCACCCAGCTCTTTTAACCACAGTGATTCTCCCCAGATGTTCTCTCTTAAATGCAAAGGCATCATTTTCTTGCCAAGAAACGGAATGATTGATCAAGCCTCCTTTAAATCATTTCATCTTATCCATTCCCATCTGAAGGAGCAGATATTGCATTAATATTAATATTCTTATTGTGTCCCTTGAGAGAGAAATGCCCCCTTAACCCCCCGCCCAATTACTGCCATCACTACAGGGATATGAAGTCAGAGGAGGAAGCTACCAGTGGAGGGGCTGCAGTTGTTTTATTAGCAACAGCTGGTGGCAGTCCCCTGCCTGAACCACCCCCCCTTCTTTTTAAAAATGCTATGCTTGTCAGATCCAGCTTCTTGAGACTGGATGGCAAAGGGTAAGACAGGAACACGGCATATTTCAGCTTTTGCATGCAGAAAAAGGGATTTATGCTAAAGAGGGTGCAGGCTGCATTCAATGCTGATTAAAAAACTTTACAAAAGATTATTTGCTCTCAATATTATGTAGGTAACATTTGAGCAATTACACAAACATATAGAGTAACTGAAACCACCTGTAGGATTTGAAAAAATATTCCGTCTTTCCTTCTCATTTGTCCAGGATGCTTTAATAGGAAGAAAAATGTGGGCAGCACATGTCTTAGATTTATCCTTATTGTAACTTTACGTATGTTTACGATCAAGGGTGGAGTTTGCAACACCAGGGCTCCTTCTGTGTTGGAAAGAGTTGACCATCAAAAGGAAATCTGTGCCATTTGCCCAGTGGAGAAATAAATCTTCCTTTACTCACTTTTGCCCTGGTTCCTATCTAAGAAGTCCAAATGAACCCTGTTTCATCTTATTTCATCTTTAGAATTCCAGGTAACATTTTTAGGTGTACTAAATTCACATGTGGAATGTAGATTTGAGAGAAACTTTTGGCCAGTTAAACAGCTTTGTCATTGCAGCTATTTCATTTTCATTTATTTTTTCTAATCTGATGAAAATTGGGTGAATTTCATGTATGTATGAAATCACTGAGCCCATACCATACGGTCAGAGTGATGCAACTGTCCCGATTTCATAAAATACCACTTATATATCACATAAATAAGAAAATATGAATTTCAGTAGGAAAACATAAGTATTAGTAGGAAAAAGGCATGGTTAAGTAATGTATTGCTTGCTTAGGTCTATAAATAATGACTGTTGGGAAGAACATGGTTAACGTAATTCAAAATGTGGATCCATTATATGCCTGCCTCTTGGGGAGAGAGAAAAGAATCATGCTAAATAGAAAGAAATCTTGGCGTCCTCCTTATTTCTTTCATGTGTAACACATTTAAGATGTGCATTTCTTCCCTATGGCTCAAATACTATTAATTTTTATAGTTAAAAATTAATTATAATAATTCTTAAGTTTTGAATTCTAATAATTCCTAAGTATAACAGCAACACTTATGGGACTAATGCTTGATAACTCCATGGAACCTTAAAAATAGTAGCAACAATAGCACTGGGAGATGCAAGCTCCCTCTCTAGATAGGGCTGCTTCATGGATTGTGTGTTCCCTGATCTTCTTTTCATGCTCAGATCATCAGGAAGTTTGTTGCGAAGAAAGCGCAGACCCCTGCTGTTGGCTGCCATGGTCTGTCTGTGTGATACTTTAGTGGGTGCAGATATGAGGGTATTCATTTGCTTCTTTTTTATCCTTCCACTCTTTAAAAAATGTATCTATTTTACTTAAATAGACATAAAACCGTATGTATTTATCACATACAACATGACGTTTTGAAGTATATATATGTGGTGGAATAGCTAAATCCAGCTAACTAACAAATGCATTACCTCACGTAGTTATTTTTGTGTGAGAACTCTATTCACTCTCTTAGTTTTCAAGAAAACAATATATCATCATGAACTACAGTCACCTTGCTGTACAATAGATCTCTTGCACTTGTTCCTCCTGTCTAACTGTAAATATGCATGCTTTAATCCACATCTCTGCCTGCCTTCTTCCCCTCAACTACCCTAGTCTCTACTAATCACCACTCTACTCTCTACTTCTATGAAATCAACTTTTTTAGATTCCATATATGAGTGAGGTCATGCAGGATTCGTCTTATTTGTCTTGCTGTGCCTAGCTTATTTTACTTAACATATCTGCTAGATTCATCCATGTTGTCACAAATGACAGGATTTCATTCTTTTTTTATGGCTGAAGAGTATTCCATTATGTATAGATACCACATCGTCTTTATCCATTCATCCACTGATGGACACTTAGGTTGCTTCCATATCTTGGCTATTGTGAATAGTGCTGCATGGGAGTGCAGATATTTCTTCAACATACTGATTTCATTTCCTTTGGATAGGTAACCCATAGTGGGATTGCTGGATCATATGGTAATTCTATTTTTAATGTTTTCAGACACCTCTATACTGTTTTCCATAATGGCTGTACTGATTTATATTCCCACTAACAGTGTGTGAGTGTTGTTTTCTCCGCATCCTCATCAACACTTCCTATCTTTTGTCTTTTTTATAATAGCCATCCTAACAATAATGAAGTGATATCACATTGTTGTTTTGATTTGCATTCCCTGATGATTAGTGATGTTGAGTATTTTTTTCATATACTTGTTAGCTATTTGTATGTCTTCTTTTAAGAAATGTATATTCAGGTCTTTTGTCCATTTTTAAAATCGGGTTATTTCTTTTCTTGCTATTGCATTGTTTGAGTTTCTTATATATTTTGGTTATTAATCCCTTATCAGATGTATAGCTTGAAAATATTTTCTCCCATTCTGTAGGTTATCTCTTCACTCTGTTGTTTTCTTTGCTGTGCAGAAGCTTTTTAGTTTGATGTCATCCCATTTGTCTATGTTTGTTTTTGCTGCCTGTGATTTTGAGGTCATATCCAAAAAATCATTGCCCAGACCAATGTCTTGGAGCTTTTTCTCTATGTTTTCTCCCAGCAGTTTCATCATTTCGGGTCTTACACTTAAGACTTTAATCCATTTTGAGTTTATTTATGTGTATAGTGAGAGATGTGTATAGTTCCATTCTTCTGCATGTGGATATCCAGTTTTTCTGACACTGTTTATTGACAAGTCTGTTCTTTCCTCCGTTGTGTGTCCTTGGCACCTTTGTCAAAATCAGTTGGCTATAAATGCATGGATTTATTTCTGGGCCCTCTATTCTATTCCATAGGTTGATGTACCTGTTTTTATGTCAGTACCATATTGTTTTGTTTTGGTTTTCTTTTTCTTGTTCCTCCATAAAAACAAATGAGTACCATATTGTTTTAGTTATTATACCTTTGTAGTATATTTTGAAGTCAGGTAGTGTGATGCCTCTAGCTTTGTTCTTTTTGCTCAAAATTGCTTTGTCCATTAGGGGTCTTTTGTGAATCCACAGGAATTTCAGGATTGTTTTTTATACTTCTGTGAAGAATTTCATTGGCATTTGTATTAGTCTGTCTTGCATTGCTATAAAGGAATACCTTAGGCTGGGTACTTTATAAAGAAAAGATATTTATTTAGCTCATGATTCTGCAGGCTGTGCAAGAAGCATGACACTGGCATCTGCTTGGTTTCTGGTGGAGGCTTCAGAAAGCTTTTGCTCATGATGGAAGGCAAAAGGGGAATAGGCATGTCACATGGCGAAAGAAAGAACAGGAGAGATGTCAGGCTCTTTTAAACAACCAGCTCTCACATGAACTAATAGAGAGAACTCACTCATTACCATGGGGAGGGTAGCTAGCCATTTACGAGGGATCTGGCCCCATGACCGAAACACTCTCCACTAGATCCCACCTCCAACATTGGGGATCACATTGGAACATGAGATCTGGAGGGAACAAACAAGCAAACTATATCTGTATTTTAATAGAAATTGCATTGAATTTGTAGATTAGTTTTGGTAGTATGGACATTTTAACAACATTTACTCTTCCAATCCATGAACATGAGGTATCTTTTCATTTATCTGAATCTTGTGCAATTTCTTTCATGAATGTTTTGTAGTTTTTAGTATAGATGCCTTTCGCCTCTTTGCTTAAATTTATTCCTAAGTGTTTTTTTTTTTTGTAGTTACTGTAAATAGGATTATTTCTTGATTTTTCATGGGCTTCTTATAACTTAGAAACACAAATTTTCAGGAGGGAGAAGGCACTGTATCCTAAAGAATATTATTTTTAGACACCCTAAAAATTACTGTGGTAGGCAAGATAATGCTTCACCCCCAAACAAAGTCAGCATCCTAATCTCTGAACTGGTGAATATATTACCTTACACAACAAAAGAGACTTTGCAGGTGTGATTAAATTAAGGGCCTGGAGATGGGGGATGATCCTGGATTATGCAGGTGGCCCAATGTAATCACAGAAGTTCTTGAAAGTGGCAGAGGGAGGCAGAAGAAGAGCCTAGAGGAGGTGTGATTACAGAGCAAGGGTCAGAGTGATGTGATATGAGAAGGACTCAAAGTTGTTGGCTTTGAAAACAGAGAAAGGGATCATGAGCCAAGGAATGCAGGCATCCTCTAGAAAGTGGAGAAGGCTGGGAAATGGACTCTCTGCTAAAGCCCCAGAAAGAATCAGAGCCTTATGAAACCATGGTTTCCTTTATTTTAAATTTTTAAATTTTTTATATTTTTGAGACAGGTTCTCATTCTGTCACCTAGGCTGGAGTGCAGTGACACAAACATGGCTCACTGTAGCCTTGACCTCCTGGGCTCAAGTGATCCTTCCCACCTCAGCCTCCTGAGTAGCTGGGACCACAGGTATGCACCACCATGCCCGGCTAGTTTTTTTTTATTTTTTATTTTGAGATGGGATCTCACTGTGTTGCCCATGCTGGTCTCAAACTCCTGGGCTCCATGATTTTAGCCCAGTGAGACCTGTGCCAGACTTTGGTCCTGCAGAACAGTAAGGCAATACATGTGTGTTGTTTTAAGCCACTGAGCTTGTGATAATTTGTTACAGCGGCAATAGGAGACTAATCTACTTGGGATACATGTTACTTTTTGTTTCTGAGGATTCTGTTTGGAATTATGACTCTGAGTGCCTCTAGAACATGTTGCATCAGGAAAACTCAGCAAGACTCAAACCAAGACAGAGAAGAAAGTGAATATGGAAAGATGAGGATGTGGCCTAAGTGAGTAAGTACAACAGAACTATTTATCATTTCAGTTATATTTTCTGACAGTCCCTTAGAGGAAGCTGTGATTTTAGTTTCAAGAAATGGTACACCTTCGGTTGACATTATTGACATTTGGTTTTATTTAGAATTTAAAGAGTATGACAATATGCTTTCATGTTAATGATTTAGCAGACAGTAATACAAAAATCTGAATTTTAATGCCTTCATTTTTGGTTAATATGTTTATCTCACAGCAAACTAAACAGACAACAGCAAAATCAATATCTTTAATGTTATTCAAGGGCCATCTTTTAAATCTGTGGGAGAAGTCTTGATCAAACAGTTCCTTTTTGTTTCATTCTCTTTCATCAGTGAAGTGAGAGGTGGAAAAGATCTACTAGATCATAAATTAATGATCCTGTGTTAATGCAGATGTCCCCGCTAATTAATGACAGCAAAATGCAAAGCTTGAGCATATTGAAATATCTTGCAGTCTAGGAAAAAGGTTAAAAATTATTTACCCCATACCTACCCAAAATTTGTTGCTGTTTTACACAAAAAGTAGACATAAAGCCCTGACTTGAAATCTTAATCTCAGTGATTCTTTTTAAACAGATTTCTTCTCTAACTGGGGGTCAGGCAGAATTGGGCAACCTCAGAGCAGACACAGGGAACTCCCGTGATACTCTGTCACTAGGCAGAGTTGTTGCAGCTCAGCTACTTTGTGTTTTTCCCCAGTCCCTTTGCTGGTTACACTGATTTCCTGCGAGTGGGTGCCAGATATGCCACTGGGAGCTATAGGGCTCAGAAAAGATGCATTGCCTGAATGAGGGGGGAGGTGTAACTTTACAAAATAGTATACTTAGAAATGGATGCTAATAACAATCAACATAAGTAAATATAGAATCCAGATGTCCTTGATGACCTATCTTCAGAAATGACACACCATCATTTCTATAGTATCCTATTGGTTCCACTGATTGCCACTACTTATTGTAGGCATGGACTACACAGGGGTCCGAATGCAAAGAGGTGAGAATGACAGAGAATGATTTTAGAGGCTGACTACCACAGATAGGTTATTTTCCTTCAAAGACATTGATACCATTTAGCTACAGAACCCTTGAGTCTTCAAGCTACAGAACCCTTCCTTTAGAACTAGAACATTTACATAGTTGTCTGCTCACGTTGTCTTCTTCCAGAGTGATGGCACCGAAGATCATGATGTAGGGTCTTGAATGGAAAGATCAATATCAATGTTATGGAAAGAATTATCCACCAAGTAACTCAAGCCCATGAATAATCTATTCTATGTTCTAGTAGAGAACCTTTCTTTTTTCTTAAGGCAAACAAGCAAACAACAACAACAAAACACCTTGTGCTTGAGGTTAAACCAAATACTTCAAGACTTGCCATTTGGAAAGTTGCTGAGCTTATGTGGATTAAGGAAGAATGTCGTAGTCTCTTTTACATTCTTGACAAAAGTCTTTTAGATAGCTAATGGATAATTCAAGGCTCTGACACTGATGAAATTATCAAATGTGAAGCAGTGGTGAACACAATTTCAAAATCATCAGCCAAGTCTTAGAGGTGAGCACATGCCAACATCAAAAGCAATGAGACGCGATGGGATGTGGTGTTTCTTTATGTACCAGAGAAGTAAAACCAGGTACATTGATGCTAAGCATAGCATGTGCATCATAAATTCAACAAGTATCAAGATTTTGTGTCCAAGTCAGGCTTTTGTTTGGCAACAAAACTCTTTTACAGTTTTGGAGATGTCAATGGCCTTTGAGGTTTCCAGAAAAGACTGACAGCATAGGAATTCTCTGATAGCATCAGTGTGCACCTAATGGACAAAAATCAAAAGGTAGATGTGTTGAAAGACTTCAATAACTATCTTCAAGGGAAATGGCTTATTAGCCAATTCTTCCACGACCTTCATCAAATAATAGAAAGAAATGCTGGTGATTCTGAAGTAGATGACTTTATTTGACAGGAATACTGTTTTAATATTCCTTCTCTGATCCAAACTATATCTCTTTTAACTACTTTCCAGGACAAAGTTTTCATAATTGTGTGTGAATTCTTTTCCTAAGGAATATTATAAACATCTTGGAGAAATGTATGAAAACAAAGTTTTGTGTTGAAGTGAAGCTGCGTTTTGGTAAGGTTCCCGCCAAAAATAACTACCTTGCCCGATGTTGTTGAGCGGCTGGACAGTTTTGCTGGATTTGTGCTTTCACCAGGAGGATCCAGGCCACACAGGAGCACTGTGGCGTTTGTATCTCCTGATGTTCAATAGTGAAAGTAGAAATAAAGACATGGAAGACTTATCATTTGTTTCTTTTCCATGACATTTCCCCTAACTGAACTTGGGCCTATGTGAAAAGGTAGAGATGTCAGGTTATACTTCCTTTCGTTATGATCTATAGGACACTAATCTCAGTGCCATATCATGGTAATAATGATTACTTTTACCTTACTTGACCATGTACAATGGAATCCCTTGTACTTGTTTGAAGCAAAATATCTTAATAACATGATTGATATTAAACACGATTTTTTTTTAAGAGACAGAGTCTTGCTCTTTCACCCAGGCTGGAGTACAGTGGTGCAATCACAGCTCACTGCAGACTTGACCTTTTGGGCTCAAGCGATCCTCCCACCCCAGCCTCCTCAGTAGCTGGGACCACAGGCACAGAGTATCACACCTGGCTAATTTTTTTTTTTTATTATTTTTTGTAGAGATGGGGGTCTCCCTATGTTGCCAGGGTGCTCTCGAACTGCTGGACTCAAGTGATCCTTGGCCTTCCAAAGTGCTGGGATTATAGGCATGAGCCACCGCACTCAGCCATCAAACACTATTTTTAATGAAAGCAATTATCAAAGTAACAAAAAGGCAGATCGAAGAAAAATAATGTTCTCCCAAGGCTCACCCATGAATTCCCTAGGAAACCTTGCCCCATTCATTTAGTTTTTTGTCTTTTCCTCACGAGACTGAATTTCTTGTGGGCCTTAATTTCTTTGTCACTGCAAGATTTAGTTGTTTCTTACGCTAGAAACACCAGCACCCCAGAAGCCCCTTGGAATCATTCACCCCTATTCCCCAAAGAGTTACTACTCTGACTTTTAATAGCATAGATTAGTTTTGACTATTTTGTACTTTATATAAATGAAATGATACCATTTTTACCTTTAGGTCCTTCTAATATTCTGCCTGGATTGTGGTATTTTATAAATTTTGTGTGTGTTTTCAATGATGAGGATGCAAGCTCCTTTATGTAACTTCTCGGTAGAAAAAAGCAGAATCTGGAACAGTGCCTTCAACAGAATACATTAAACTGAATGCTCCTAAACCTATTCAATTCAGCCAAGCTGGTGGAGATGCAGACTTGATACCTTACCATGAACTCGTCGGAGGATGGGGATCTAGTTTTCTATTCTAGTCATCTTTCCTAGACACCACTCTGTGTGTGTGTGTGTGTGTGTGTGTATGCACATGTGTGCATAGAATTATTCTGAGACAATTCATCACTGCCTAATTTAACCAACATTTCTGAAAATATGCATGATAATAAAAAATAAGGGATTTTTCCCCCATCCTAATAGTATTAATGGAGGATTCATCAGACTGGAGTTAACTTACAGCTGACTTTTGGGATTTATCTGAAACACTATTCTTAGCCTTGTAGCTTCCTTCTGGTGACTTTATTAATTGATCAGATAAGAGTGTCATGGGGCCCCACTAGTGATGATGGGACCAGTGGGTTGTTTTCCTCTCCAATCTAGGAAACAGCTGGGTGTGTTTCACAGCTGCCATGACACTGTGAAAAGATCCTTACACCCGTTTCCTATGCTGCTTTTCCTTTTTGTTTGTTTGTCTGACATATTACCACCATTAATGCTTGCCAGAAGCTAGGCAAATCTTTTGTCAAAAACCAACCTGCAACTCTACAGAGAATATTTTTCTGGATCACTTACTTTCATTTTGAGCGTTTTTAGAAGCCTTTTTAGAAGGCTTTTGAATTCCCAGTATTCTGGGAGGCATTGACTTCTGCTGTGCACTCAGGACCATAGCAAATGGGTTGTTCTGAGAGATAAGGAAAGAAGCCCTTGAAATGTAGCTTCTTAATGGAGCCATTCTGCGAAGGATTGACCTGACAAACAGCTCCGATGTATTCACTGCGGATGTTCATCTCTAAACAGCCACACACATTTCCTGCAGAGTCATGGTAGTGCAAGCTGCTTCAAGTACATTGAGGGAGTGGGAAGACAGTGGTTGAATAATACGGGAGCTCCAGCTGAGAGATGCCTGTGGTACAGCTCTGGATTGCGGTGGACAGAGCTTCAGATCTGTTGAGTTTGAGAGTCATAGCCAAGATTTCCTGCTCACTGCTTCTACTGTTATTCCCATTGTTAGTTGCTGGCATCTCATATCTTAGATCATTAATCCATCCGCTGGCTCCCTATTGCTAATCCCTTATAGGCAAGACTTTGAGACTGTCCCTTCAAGATTCAGAGGGTCATTTCTGGCCCTCTCCTCCACTTTTTCTACACACTGATACTCTTTCCTATTATTCATAAAGCGATAGATCATAAACATGCTCTTAAGCAAGAGTGCTAATCAACCAAGCAGCACTGCCGGTGAGTTGGTTCATATTTTGTTCCTTCCATTGGGTTCCAGCTGCGCTCTTCCTGTTTTACCAATTAGGTGAATGGGAGAGGTGTGAGGCATGGTGAGCCCAGCAACAGATACAGAAACACCTTGTCTCTTCATTTGCTTTTGTTGTGAAGGTGACCATCAGGGGGACTGTGTACAGTGCCAAAGAGTGGCCTGTCCATCTCCCTTAGTTATGACGGCAGCAAATAACAAAGTCTCCATGTGGACGCAAGGGCTTTCTACAGTTTAAACCAAGACAATGGGAAAGTATGTTTTCTTGGCCCTTTGCAGGAAATCCTGCCCAACACAGGAAAGAATGGAGCATTTCCCGGACCGTGGGCTGCCCGGGCCTGGCTTTCTAGGGTGGGCTTGAGCAAACCCGGTAAAAGATGCTTATCCTCTTACCGAATAAGAAAACCCAGCAACATCACCCATGCCCAGAGGTGCTAATGTTCAGCAAAGCCCCAACATGAATTAGCTGGAACATACAAAAAATGATATGTATGATTCAGAATAGACTAAAGGAGAGATGTACATCTGACCTTGACTTTGCCCATTTTCTCTGCTTAGTTTTCAGCATGTTACAAAAATACCTCTCCACCAAGAAAAACAGGAGAAGATACTACTTGGAAAGAAAGGAAAGTGAGATCTGTCTCATGACATTAGAAACAGATGATTGCTCAATATCTTTATTCTGAAAGCCATGGCTTCTAAATTTTTTTTAAAACTGCAAGCTACAATTGTTTTCCCTGGGCCCTGCTGGAAGTCACAGGGTAAATAAGGCACAGCCATCCTTTCCTTTGCTGGTGGCCCTCTCGGATGGTGACATGTCGTAGCAGCAATGGTGCCTCTGAACAAAAATAATGAGAGAAACATCTGTCTCCTGCTACGCTCTTTTCCAGGCAAATGGCACTTAAGATTCTTATTTTAGACTTGTAAGTGCTCCCACAAAAAAGCAGCTTCGGTGTTAACTGCATCTCCTTCTTTCTTTGAATCTGTTGATCACTTTTTCCTTTGCTTGTATTTTAAGACAGTTTAAAAACAAAGATGACAACAAGATACATGCATGTCTCTGGTACTGTGGGATTAAGAAAAAAAAGAGGTGAAGAATACAGTAGAATGGTGTCATGTGGGTGCAGATAATTCTTCCGTCCTTGTTAAAAGAAATTGGGAGAGGCAATGTTTTGGAAATGTTTATACCTAATATATTGTAGAGGCTTGAAAATTACCAAGTAAACCAGATCATGAATGAAATAGTGTTGCTAGCGGTGCTCTCTTGTAGTCAGGGATCATAGTCCAAATATTGAGGAGGACCTACTCTTGTCTGTTTCTCTCTCTCTCTCTTTCTCTCGCTCTCCTGCTCTTTCTCTGTCTTCTCACACATACACACCCTGGCCCCTACACAACTACGACTCACTTTCATCAGGAATTCAGATAATGTCCCCGAGATTAAAGAACGACTTGTGAACTGGCATCTCTGAAGCAGCGAGCTGGAAACACAGGCTTCGTGCTTTCCCACTGGGATATTTAGAAGAGCATATGCATAAAGTGATACCATTTTTTGTTTATTTTGGCTTGCATACAACTAAGACATTTTAGAGCTGGAAGGAACTTCAAAAACGAAGCAGTTCAACCCCTCGGTTTTTCTAATGAGGGAACCGAGGCTCCGCGAAATGCCTCCGTGTGGCCGAGGTGGCAGCGGGGCGCTGGATTCTCACGTCTGGCTTCTCCAGCCGTCTCTTCCCAAGGTCTCTCCGCTCTCTCTGGCTTTTCTTCTCCACCTCCTCAAGCATTTCAGATCGACTTCCTCCTCCACGCCGCTCACGACCTCTTCCCAAAGCATTCTGCTGCTGTTATTTGGAAAATAACGAACACAGAAGCGATGTGTTTCTGCGGATATTTTAGTGCTCACAGACTTGCGGCATCTGACCAGCCTGGGCACAGCACTGTGTGCGCGCATACCGTAGAGTGGGGAGGGCACCCGCATCACAGTCACCTCAGCACCACCCTTCCGCTACCCTTCTTCATTATTTGTAAACAAATATGTTTCTGAAATTTTGTCATGACTTTTAGAAATTAATTTAGGATAACCATTTAACGAGATTTAAGATTGCCTAAAAGGAAGACAGAAGAGTAAACCTGTATAAGTTCAAGTTTATTCTGAAAAAGTTTTTGGTTAATATTACAAGTTGATGTTCTATCCATCCATCCATCCATCCATCCATCCATCCACCCACCCATCCATCCATTTATCCACCCATCTATCCTCCATCATCCATCCACCTACCCCACTCACCCATCCATGCATCCAGCCATCAATCCATCCATCCATCCATTTATCCACCCATCCATCCTCCATCATTGTCCACTTACCCCATCCATCCACCCATCTATCCATTCATCCAACAAGTTTTATTCAACCAACATGTCATTCAAAAACATTTTCTGCATGCATCGTGCCGGTTATTGTGTGCACAATAGGTTACAGAAACACAATCTAGTGGGGAGATAGAAAAGTATGAATAATGAGGCCAGGCGCAGTGGCTCATGCCTACAATCCCAGCACTTTGGAAGACTGAGGTGGGTAGATCACCTGAGGTCGGGAGTTCGAGACCAGCCTGGCCAACACAGCAAAACCCTGTCTCTATTAAAAATACAAAAATTAGCCAGGCCTGGTGGTGCATGTTTGTAATCCCAGCTAGTCAGTGGGGCTAAGGCAGGAGAATTGCTTGAACCCGGGAGGCGGAGGTTGCAGTGAGCCAAGATCATACCACTGCACTCCAGCCTGGGCAGCAGAGAGAGACTCCATCAAAAAAAAAAAAAAAAAAAAAGAAAGAGAGAGAGAAAAGTATGAGTAATGATTATACAATGGGATGGTTGATATGTAGTATACACATAGATACAACATAATGTACTGTTGATAGAGATTTGTGCAAGGCTTTTGACTGAACAGTATAAAAGCCACAACAATGAGTAATAAATATTTCCTGCCAATTAGGAGTTTTAATTAATAGAAAAGATGAGACATGTACACAAAAAACTCTAATACAAGATAAAATATAATGTCATTTGCTCTGAATTTCTCTGTAATTTATAGCATTTTAAAACTTGGGGACAGAAACTCCATGTATAAATATAAGAAAAGATATGAAAGTGGTTGTTGTTATTTTGGAATAGGATGGAAAAAGATCTTGAGGGTCAGAGTGTCTCATGGGTTAAAGGTAATAATTAGCAAAGAGTGCTACAGTTTAAACAAAGAACCTTGTGTGTCTAAGCAAATATAAACTGTTCAGCTAATATAAACTGTGAGAGAATCAGTAGCATCTAGACCAGAGTTGGTCTTCGTGACTTAAGGGAAAATTGGAAGAAATAGAGACATTTGATCTCACAAATGAAAATGAAGGCTGGGCGTGGTGGCTCATGCCTGTAATCCCAGCACTTTGGGAGGCTGAGGCAGGTGGATCTCTTGAGGTCAGGAGCTCAAGACCAGCCTGGCCAACATGGTGAAACTCCATCTCTACTAAATATACAAAAAATTCACCAGGTGTGGTGGCACACACCTGTAGTCCCAGCCACTTGGGAGGCTGTGGCATGAGAATCACTTGAACCCAGAAGGCGGAGGTTGCAGTGATCTGAGATCACATCACTGCACTCCAGCCTGGGTGACAGAGGAAGACTCTGTCTCAGAAAAAAAAAACAAAAACCAAACAAACAAACAAAAAAACACAAAAAACAAAAACAAACAAACAAAACAAAGAGGGTTTCTAATAAAGAAAAGCTTAAAAAACACCTTATTTCACCAGATGAAGAAAAGATGGACATATTCTGATTTCATGCCACAGGGACTTGGGCGAGACTGCTCCTGACACCAACTCCTGCCATGCTCTTGCAGCCTTCAAGAGGAGGAGGGCCGTCACCAAGCCATCTGGTTTGGATGCCAGAGACTGACTTCCTAGGAGACTTTCTGCTTTCATTTTCTTTGGTGTTATCAAATGCGATGTTGAGCCTTCTGGAATTGTTTTGCACTTCATCAAGTCACAAAAAGGAGAGCTATTATCTCCACAATGATGGGAAAAATTCCGCAAGAGGTGAAGCGTTCAGAACCTGGAGATGTAAAACTAATTCTTTTGTTTAGCTGGGCACCAAGTCGTTACTCAAAAGCCCCACCTTTTTGATGTCTTCTGCCCATGAAGCCCATCTAAAAATGAGAAGAGGGTTTTCTGTATGTTTTCTTAAGATGTTTCTTGGAAGAGTGTTTTCTCTCTCGGCTCAGGGCTTTACTAAGTGACATCTCCCTTCTTGCTTTGGTTTTATTGACTTATCTATACATTTCTTATGCCTAGTCTGACTTCCTTAATTCCAAACCCTAATGTTCATTTAATTTTGGATATTTTTAAAGGAGTTTCCAGGCAGCTAGGTTTGCCTTTTTCTCATGCTGAGACTGACCTTTCTGATGCCTTTATCATATTTTCTTGAAGTAGATTTAGCTACTCTGGTATTATTTGCCAGTGAAACCAAAGCACTATGCAAAAGCCTTCCTCTTTCCCTATCTCCTGTCTTAAAATGGGTCATCAAGAATTTTGAATTAATCACTTACTCATCAGTTAGGAGATTGAATGCTCTCTCTACCATTTTCTTCAAGTCCTTTTTATGAAATAAATTAATAAAAATAAAAGCAACAATTCCATTAGAAAAACATAAATTCTTGTCAGTCAAGTCACACTACAGCTAAAAATCCTAATAACCACTTTTCACATTCCACATAGCCTAATTTTTACATTTTAATTGATTGATTTTTAAATGTTTGTTTTTGTTTTTAATTTTGGCCTACAGTCAATTCTCTAAGTGAACACAGTATTCCAAATTGTGTTAAGACAGTGGCTTGACAGGAAGAAAAAATAAAGTTTCAAACTGGGACTTAAAACCATTTCAAATTATTTTCAATAATTTAGCCCTACTTAAGGCATTAAAGATCACAGCATCAAGAGTTGTGAAATATCAAAAGAGGTACAATTTTAAAAATATGTACATTGCCATGATGAAACAGTAGAAGATGAGTGATAAAGACACCACTTAAAAAATGGAACCTGATCTCCACATATGGAAATATCTGAATTGAGCAAAACTATTCTTCTTAAGCTGAGCTCATTGGTTATTTAAGGACTCGTGAATAGATCCATGAATAAAATCCACCTGTGGTGGTTTTAAAACATGGCTGCAAACTCTTTGGCACTCTTCCATTCACAGGTGAAATCTCATTCCCCTCCCTTGAAGATGGGTTGGCTTTACTGACTAGCTTCTAACAAAGAAAGCATGACAGAAGGGATACTGAGTGACTCGTGAGGGTCATTAGAAGGTTGATACAACTTCTATCTAGCTCGCTCGCTCTCTCCCAGGATGCTCGCCCTTGGAACCCAACAGTCATAAGGTAAGGAAGCCCAAGCCACGTGGAGACACCACATGTCAGCGATCTGGCCAATAGCTGAGGTCCCAGCTGTTTGAAAATGTAACTGCAATCTGTTTGAATGAAATGTGGTAAGACACATAGACACAGAAATGACTCTTTTGAAGGAAGAAGTTTTTACCCTCACAGATCCCTGGAAACAGAAGGCACATCACACCATGGGGGATCATACAGGGAAGCGCTAAGGATGGTCAGGAGGCAGAGAGAGTGAGGGGAAAATGTGGGCAAGAGTCTTTATTGTAGTTTCTGTGGGAAGGAAAAGAAAGGCAGGCTGAGCAGGTTTAGGATTGGCTTGAGTAATTTCGGTGGTCTCTAGAATATAAGGGTAGTCTCTAGTTGTCTGTTCCCTGAGCAGATAGGTAAGTGGCCCAAGCTGGAAAAGCTCAATAAAGGAGGTGGTTGGGGTACAGGGCTCTGGATTGGCTGGGGTACAGGGCTCTGAACTGGTTGGTTTGCATATGAAAGTCATTCATTATCTCTATGAATCAGCTAGCCCTGAGAGGGGAAGTCCCTTTAGTGCCAGCAAGACCCTTGCTGTCCAAGTACCAGGATAAAATATATGCTTAATACACCAGCTGGCCATCAGCCTCAACTGCCCGACATGTGAGTGAGCAAGGCTTTGAGTTGACTCCAGCCTCAGTCACTGTAATCTGACTACAGCCACTTGAGAGGCCCTGAGTGAGAAATGTCAAATTGAACTATGTCTGCCTCCCAAACCCAGGATAGACAACAACAACAACGATAATGATAAACGGTCACTTTTGGTGCTTTATGCCAGCAGTGGGTGGCTTGTTATGCAGCAATGGGTAAGTGGAACACCTTCGGTTTAAGGAATTGACATTGCATAAATCACCTTTACGTGCTAATACTTATACTTTCAACATTTAGAGAAATTGTAGGTAATATGGTTTACGTTATACATTCTCACATATAAGTCATTCTCCATATGATATCCTTTTAACAGCTTAATTATGGCATTTCTGGAATGTTTTAAGCACATAGATTGTCCTTTAAACCATAACGTCTATTTTGAAGCAAATTACTCTCATCAGTTACTATATACAAATAAAGATGTTCATTTTAGCTAAGAGCCATTGAAGATGAGAACATGGCTGCTTGAAGACACTAACATTATGGGGCAAAAACTGATTGGGCTCCTCTCTAGAGAGCATTCATAAAATTATTTTTGCTTGTACCTAAGAGGCCATTGCAGTAGCCTTGGAAGAACAGCAAAAGGGTGCAGGATTGATGCCTGGGCTTACCCAGATTGGTGAGGCTGAGCTGTCTCCCTCATCAGCTATTTATTCACTTTCATAAAGAGCAGTCCCTGTGGCTTTGGGCCCCACTCATCAGCTTGTTTCTGCTCTTAGCCACTCTGCTAGCACCACAGAGGCTGGCCCTGGAGATGAACTTGCTCAGCTCACCACCCAGGAAGAAGATTCATTCCTGGAGCTGATGCTCATGGGGTGTGTGATGGTCACAAAATAGCAGGTGGTCAGAGGGTCTTCACTCAAGGGGTGCTAACGACCCTTGTTCACCTCACCTGAATCCGGAAGGGCAGCCCCTCTTGCAATAAAAGGAGGGGAAGCCTCAGGCCTTCCCTCTGTCCTCCTCTCTAAGCATCTCTGGATGAGGAGGTCTAACAAAGGCCAGGTACTGGATGCTGCAGAGTATGACCCAGGTGCGCCTCCAGCTCCTCTGCCTCCTACCCTTTCTACAGTCTTTCTCCCATCCCCACTCCAGGTGTCCCTGCCCCAGTATTATCTGGGATTTCTGATGTTACCTCAGCTTCTGAGACCCAAAATTATGTTGCTCAAGTGGTGAAAAGTCAGGTGAGAGTTGGGGATTCAGGGACTGGAGAGCTGTGCCTAGAAGCTCTTCTAATCAGGCCAACCTGGTTATCACCAGCTCAGTGTCCTATGAGGCCACCCTGCTCTGTGGAATTACTCCATTGAGAAGTTCCTGTTCTCCCATCTACCACATGAAAAGACAATCTGGAAAAAAAACACAACTCAAAACATTTCAGGAAACATAATTTTAAATGCCACAAACTACAGGTTTAAAGCATTATTTTGCAAATCCTAAAATTCTGACATTAACATTTTAATAAGTTGTTATTCACACATTTTCAAAATAAAGCCTGAAATTGTCCATAAAGGAAATCTCTTCAGAGGCAAAGTAAGGAGTTCTCCTTCAAGTTCACCTAAATGACCTCAAATGTTTTTACCTTTAAAGACTATGCATCGTCTTGTAGCCCCAGTTGCTAGCGACATAGCAGGTGTTCATTGTTGTGTGGATGAATGAGTGAATGGGAGAGAAAAAGATATGGCATCTTTAAAAATCAGAGAAGTAACTTATGCACTCAACCAAATAGACCAAGGATGATTGATACTTCTTTTAACACCAAATACTGGAATGAAGAACTATTTGAGACAGGATCTATACTACTAATTAAATTGACAGCAGTAGCCAATTGTGCCTGAATCTGGCTGCTCTGTGATCAACAACTACCACCCCACCACCACACACACACAACATCCTGCCAAGTGAATAATCTTCTCGTTAATTCAATTAAGCTGTTCAGAAATTGATGTCTTGTTAGATGCAGGGGCTGGTTTTCTAGAAAGCTTCATGACTTGATTAAATATGCTCTTTATTCAGATACAGGTTAGGGTTTAGGTCGAAGGCAAACGAAGAATTTGTTTTTGTTTTTGTTTTTGTTTTTGTTTCCGAGACAGGGTCTCGCTCTGTTGCCCAGGCTGGAATGCAGTGGCATGATCATGGCTCACTGCGGCCTCAAACTCCCGGGCTCAAGCCATCTCCTTGTCCCGATCTCCTAAGTAGCTGGGACCACAGACGCATGCCACTATGTCCAGCTAATTTTTGAAATTTTTTAAAGAGAGGGGAGGTCTCACTATGTTGCTCAGGCTGGTCTCAGGCTACCAATCCTCCCACCTAGGCCTCCCAAAATGCTGGGGTTTCAGGCATGAGCCACCACGCCCAGCCAGAGTTTTGATGACTACTTTAGTTGCTTCTTGTCATTTAATTTATGATCTCAGCGTTGGCTACCTGTAAATAAATTTGAAAATTTTTCTTTCATGCTATTACTGCTATTATGAGCCTATAAATCACCACAGGCTAAAACGCAATCTTCCAAACAATGATTTGTGTCTATATTAAATGCAAATGCAAAGATATATAAATATATTCACAAATAATTCATTTAAATACTCAATAGCGCTATTGGAAAATCCTGGACTATAAGTGTGGGCAGAAACCAATGAATGTAACTGTGTTCTGTTGGCTAAGTAAATGCATAGTGAAATGTGGGTTCTACATAAGTACCTTGAAAACCAACACTTTCAAAGAAGGAAGAGAGGGAGTGAATAAATGCAAAGACCCAAACTGTACAATGCCTCTTAGGCTTAACTATATAAGGAGTTGAAATTGCTATTTAATTATTTATATACTATAAGTATCTTTAAAAAATAAAAAGGGTAGTGATTTCAACGGCTTGTAATGAAATAACAGGTATAATAAGGTCCCAAACCATTAACAAAAGATTAAAGAAAAAAAACAACCCATAGCCAAGAAGATAGGGAAGAGAAGGTCAAGAAATCCTGTTGAGAACAGCTATACCATTTTTAGTTATTGTTTTAATGTT
Source organism: Homo sapiens (assembly GCF_000001405.40). NCBI lineage: Eukaryota > Metazoa > Chordata > Mammalia > Primates > Hominidae > Homo > Homo sapiens. The sequence goes on from NC_000001.11 coordinate 244,147,451, forward strand.
CACCTTTGGCATGAAATGACAGTATAGCAGTGACAAGAAGTGTATCTTACCTCCATTATTTAATAGCCTTGTGATTTGGGGCAAACTTCTTTAACCTCTGTATGCCTCACTTCCCCCATTTGTAAAACATGGAGAAGAATAGTACCTATCTCATTAGAATCGTTAAGAGAGTAAGATGCGTTAATGTGTATGAAGTGCTTAGAATGGTGCCTGGCACATCATGAGCTCTGTCTGAGTGTTTGTTAAATAAAAATATTTTTTTATTCAATGATATCATTCCCAGAGTAAGCCTGAGAAAAAAATGAATCATAAAACCAATAGCAAAGTCTTTTAAACATATGTACAGGCTGTTGAAGAAAGGGAAATGTCGTTCATTTTGGTCACAATTTTGTGAATGTAGAGTAAGGACTGTCGATTTCTTGCAAGGCTCTCATTTGAAAAAATGGATGCTGAAACCCATCTATATTAGGCAATCAATTTCTTCTTTTATTTCAATGCAATAGGTGTTTGTGAAAGTCATCTCTATTATTATGATGTCAATATTTGACCATGTTTGACCTGTGAAAGAGTGGAAGGTTGAAGTGGTTCAGTGTCATATTAACGTATAAAGAAGAACGACATTTGTTCCAAACTAAAATGGCTTTTAAGCTCCCACTTTGCTGAGAGTGGGTGCTTCTGGATGTTGAAGACAGTAGGTGACTTAGGGGAAGTTGTGAGAAATTTCCTGTGTGTTTGCTCTTCAGTCTTGAGTGATGGGACACCATTTCCTTAGATTTAGCCACAAGATTTCCTGGAGTTTCAGAGAAAATAGAATTTTTTTCATCCTTCTCTACTTTATAGGCTCAAGAATGTCAACCCACCCAGGTGGTGAAGGAATAAATTCTGTAAATGATCATCACAGACTTTTTCCAGCTTGACAGACATTTATCGAGAGTCTCCTAAAAGCCTCACCTTAAGAATATAAGCATCATGAATGTCATAAGGATTATGATCAGCAGTAGCATTTGAATTTTAAGTAGGGACCATTTCGTGAGAACCATGTGCCTGTCACTGTGCTCGGTGTTTCACAGGCATTTATTTCCTCTCTGAAATCCCTGGGAAGTAGGGTCCTTGCCTCTAAGGAGTTGAGAACCCAGAGCGGGAAACAGACAAGCAGCTCTAATGTCATGGGATGAGCTGTCTCCCCGTCCGCTCCTCCAGGCAGATGTCCTCCATGATGCATCTGAACTCATGCCCAGCTCCTTCTAAAGGCTGCTGTGGCTACACTCAGTGCCTCTTCTGCAGAGCAAGTCACCTCCCATGCTAGAGCAGGAGCTGATGCTTTATTGTGAGTCAGGGGGCAGCATGGAAACACTGAGAGGGAAGGCAGCCTCCCAGGGAGCTGTAAAGAATGTGCAGTACAAGGGCTGGGCGTGGTGGCTCACACCTGTAATCCTAGCACTTTGGGAAGCCAAGGCAGCAGGATTGCTTGAGCCCTAGAGTTCAAGACCGGCCTGGGCAATATGGTGAAACCCTGTCTCTACCAAAACTATAAAAATTAGAGGGGTATGGTGGCTTGCACCTCTAGTCCCAGCTACTCGGGAGGCTGAGGTGGGAGGATGATTTGAGCCCAGAAGGCAGAGGTTGCAGTGACATAAGATCACGCCATTGCATTCCAGCCTGGGTGACAGAGCCATGCCCTGTCTCAAAAAACAAACAAACAAAAACAAACAAACAAAAAAAGAAAAACAAAAAGGAGAAAGAAAGAATGTGCAATACATGTAACAAACATGCACCTGTGCCTCCTGAATCTAAAATGAAAGTTGAAATTGTTTTAAAAAAATGTGCAATAAATCCAGGTCTCCCTCTCCCAGCAAGACCTTGATTTCTTGATTTAGGCTATGAGTCATATACAGAAAAAGGTAGGATGGTAAATAAAAAGTAAAAACCCTCTACATCTGAGCAGTAGCATTACGGCTACCACTTATCAAAGCCTACTGTGTGCTAAGGGCTCCACATGTACTCACGGGTTCCATCTTCACAGCAATGCTCAGATGTAGGTACTATTGTCTCCATCTTATTTATTTGTTTATTTTATTATTATTATTATTTTTATTTTTAGAGAAAGGGTCTTACTCTGTCACCTAGGCTGGAGTGCAGTAATGTGATCATAGCTCACCGCAGCCTCGAACTCCTGGACTCAAGAGATCCTCCCATCTCAGCCTCCTGAGTAGCTGGGACCACAGGCATGCACCACCATGCCTGGCTAAATTTTTTACTTTTTAATAGGGATGTGGTCTCTATATGTTGCCCAGGCTGGCCGTGAACTCCTGAGCTCAAGTGATCTCCCCACCTCAGCCTCCCAAAGCTCTGGGATTACAGGCATGAACCACGGTGCCCAGCCATCCTTTATTTTATTGATGGAGAAAATGAGCCATAGGGCAGTTACGTCACAGCTGCGTGGGAGGTTTGAACCCAGGTCTGTCTGGGTCTAAGTCCCATTGTGTTCTTAAGACATTGAGCCCGCCTAGCCTGGGCACAGCTTTGATTTCTGCCTCTCTCTGTCTCCAACCTTCCCATTCTCTTCCCCCACTTTTCAGTCTCCCCCTTGTGATTTCAGCCTATCCCTGGCATCCAATGGTAACTGCAGCCAGGGCCCTGCCCTGCCAGAGATGCCCAAGAGTAGAGGAATAAGATGAGGTTTTATCTAAAACAGGGATGAGGCATTTGTGCAAAGGATCTAACAAAACATTAGACAGATTCATGCCTTGGAAGCCTTCCCCATACTCTAAGGAGAAGGTGACAGAGCTCTGAGGAACCCTCATCCATCAGTTCAACAGCAACATGTTGCTAATATTTGCCAGCTGTGTGACTAGTCCTCTCTCTTACAGATGTGGACACTGAAGCAGGATGAACGTTAAGAGGCTCACCCTGGGGTCACACACAGCACAGCAGGGATTAAAATCCATAGACTTTGAATTTCTAGCCTATTGCTTGCTCTGCCAGGTTACCGTCCACGCCGTCAGGAACGGATGGCTAGCTGCCTCATGTGATTGAGTGTGAATGTACTTTTCTTGCTCCCGATTCACCATTCTCAGGGGCAGCAGTGCAGGGAGCCTGGACTGCGCACTTGCCTCCAGGGTACATAGAGGGAAACTCAGGAAAGAGACAGACTCCAGAAGCCGACTTCGAGATCAGGGGTCACTCCTCTTTAAAAACACGGCAGGCGGTGTGAGTTTCCTGTGCTTTGCTTACTTACCAAATTATCTTCAGAACCTCCGACTTCCACAGGAGGGTTGGAGACAGCAGGTAGGGATTCCAGGTTAACAAGCTCTTCTCATAGATGGCCCTGTGTCCTCAAATTCTGTGCTGTACAAATGGGAACCACGCCCACTGTCTTGAGGCCAGTGCTTTGACATTTTAAAACCCACCTCCTCTTCACTATGACTAAACAAAGATATATATATATATGTAACGTGAAAGTGAACCAAGTGCCGTATCTCTGGAAAGCCCACACTGCTGAGAAAATGGCAAATAGGCCTCCTTTCTCTTTTAACTGAGAGTGTGGAGAGTGAGGAACATCAGAAATTCTGAGTTTTGTTTGCTTTCCCACAAGGCCAGTGGGGACAGCTGTTGGTTTTAATTCACATCTTGGCCCAGATAAATATTTTCTCTATGGAGAGTACAACCAGAATTTTCCAGAAGTTTCACATTGGGTAGGTGCTTTCCGGTGGTCAGGCCTCCCTGCCCCCCAGAGAATGGCTTCTGTGCGGATAGCTCCATCTGGAACAGGACTAGCCCTCAATAAGCACCAAATTGAGGGTACAAAGGAGTTCAGGGACCCCCTTGTGTGCCCTGGCTCCGCTTGGTGGCCCCCTTACTTCCTGTTTCTAAAAGGAGGCTCCAAAATACCAGGGGTCTCACAACCTGATGCAGCTACTGATTTCAGATTCTGATTTACTCTTAAGATTTGTAATTATGTCTGAATATGTTTTATGGAATTTGTCATTGGCTTATGTCTACTTAATTTAAACAGCCCATAGCCCCTTGTTCTTGTCGTATGTGAAGTAACAGTACTGTTTCAATGAATTGTGATGAGGTCAGTTACTTTAGAAGGCCAGGAATTACGGGCAGAGCAGACGCCCCAAGGATCCTTCTCTCATGGGCCATAAAATTGTCAGAAACACAAAAATACTAAAGCACAATATTAACATGATCATAAATAAAGATTCAAAGATGATTGTGATAAAGAACAGAATGCCTTATAGGAACTTTTGCAGTCTCTATAAACCAGAGCATCATAAAATCATAATCTGGCAATAAACGTGAGAGGCCACATTCACTCTGAGGTTAGAAGTCACATGTCCCTTGTGATATCAAACCTGCCTATAATTTTTATTTTTAAAATGTTACTATAAATCAGAGCATCATAAACCTGGCAATAAACTTGAGGAGCCAGTTTTCATGTGCGACTAGGAGTCAGAATTCCCCAGCAATAGAAAAAAGTTATTTTTTTATAATTTATATTTTTTAAACATAATACCCAAGTAATTATTATACTGAATGTATTTGACAAATGTCTACATGAAACATTAGAGTTAAATTACTCATCAGCCTTACATTATAATACCATTTAAAATGTTTCAGACTTAGTATGACTTTTAATCATTCGGTTGACATAATTCGCAAAGGAATTATTTTTCTTCTTATTGTTTTGAGAGCTGCTTATAACATTCGAAGAGATGTGTAGAATCTCAGGTCTAAAGTCCGCACTCCCCTGACAACCTTCCTCCTATTTGTAGCTTTTAAACTGACACCCTTGCCTACATTTTAGAAGGTTCTTTTTTAAAAAATAGAGAGAGATGAGAGGAGATTTACTAAGGAAATTGGCTATCATGATTATGGAGGCTGAGAAGTCCTACAACAGACCATCTGCAGCTGGAGACCCTGGGATGCTGGGTTCATGGCTCAGTACAAGCCTGAAAGTGTCAGAACCAGGGAAGCTGATGGCGTAACTCAGCCTGAGGCCCAAGGGTGAGAATCTGGGGTGGCTGATGTGAGTTCTGGAGTCCAAAAGCTAAAGAGCCTGGAGTTCTGATGTCCAAGGACTCTTAGAAGCTGGACCGTGTACTAGGCTACCAGGGATGTATCAGTGAACAGGACAGACATGGTTCTAGTTCTCATAGGGTGGGAAAGATATTGTCCAAGTAATTACACAAATAATTACCTAATTACAAATCTGTATGTATGATTTAAGGAAGACATACAGGGCACTGTGAGAGTGCAGGAAAGGGCACCCTCACTAAGCCTGAGAAAGCAGAAAGAAGTGACTTTTAAGCTAAAGGAGATGACCTGCAAAAGGAGTGTGAACACATCTGGCTCCTGAATGTTCCTTAGAAGATGACGACTTTTTCCTCCTACCCAACCCTAATACAGCTGTCATTCAGAACTTTCTGTTCTCACTTCAAGCAACAACATAGAATATCTACCTACAGATACTTGTTTAAAAATTCAGCCAAAACTTGAGCACTTTTGAAACTTGATGAAGGCATCAGATTTTGAATAATACTTATTTTCTCTACCTGTCAATCTGTCACCCTTTGTCCCACTCATTTGTGTATAACCTCTCACTGCCTAATATCTCTTACCAGGATTTCTGCAGCCACCTCCTTGCCTTCAGTCTTGTCAAAGGAATTGTCCCCACTGCTATCTGGGCATTCTCAGTAAAACCTGAATTTAGCCAAGAGGTTTCCATTCTTTGCCAGCTCCTACTCATCAGGCTGGGTTAGATAGCCTTCATCAACAGCATCTCTGCATATTTCTTTCATTGTCTTCAGTGGGGCACACTGGTGTCATTAGCATTGTTTTGATTGTATGTACAGCGTCAGGCAGGCAAAGGCTTAGGAAATACTCGAAATCCACAAGTTGGTGTTCACTTATCTCAAGAGTCAAAGAGAGACAAATCCAGCTAAGACAGTGGAGGGAGTTGGTTACGTCTTGGTGGGAATTGCAGATTTCAGAGAGTGGACAGAAAATTAAATAATGATAGGATTTAAGTCTTGGAACATGGACGAGTGACCAATCCCTTTATCAAGTTTTGGTGTACCTGTTAGAGTAACAATAAAGACACCTCATTTTGTCTCATCATGGTTGCAGCAAGAATCAAGTCCTAGGTCTTAAAGAAACTTCCATAAACTTGTTTGGGTTAGGATAACAAAATTTTTTTGAGTGGATAAATTAAAAATGTTTTTTTAAACTTTGGGACGATATAGCATTAAATATTTAAATTTTAAAATAAATCAAACCAATAAATTAAGACTTTAGGCTAAATTTGGGCAGAGTAAGTATATGTTTGCTGTATTTGGATTTTGGAATACTTAAGAAAAATGGGCACATTTCAATGTGTAACAGAATACCATTCTAATTTCACATTTCAGTTTAAAATGTGAAATGGAGGTAATCAATTTGACTTACGATTCTAAGTTGAAAAACATAAGAGAATATTACCAAAATTGTAAACAATATACAAAAAGTTTAAAGAGGCTTAAGAACCATTGTATGAAAAAGTTCCCTTTTTATTAGATTTAAGAGAGCAGTGTAGATACTTGGGAAACTTTTGTTTATTAATCAGATAATTGAAGCATTTTTAAAAAGAAGCAGAATATATTATTTTTATAAATACAATTTTAAATATTTAAAGTAATTTAATTAAGAAGTAAAAGGACTCTTAAAAGTAGTTGGAAAAATGTATTCGATGTTTAAATAGAATAATAAGAGTTGTGAGTTGAACCTAAACTTGAGGAAAAATTAGATTTTAAGCTTGGGAATTTTTAATTTTGATAAATCAGGTATTAATTTTTAAGCCCCTAAAGTTCCTACACGGACCGGAAAAATCAAATTGAAAATGGCAATTATCGGTGGTTTATCAACCTTCCCTTTTATATTTTATCTTGAAGATAAGGGTCAAGTCTCACCAAAATGGTAATTTTTTGATTAATATGGCTTTTTCATCCACTGTTTCACCTCTTTCATCAGCTGGCTGACCTCCTGTTTTATTCTGCATTTATATAGAGCAGGATTGAATATTAAATTACTATCATTTTTCTCGTTTTATTCAGGCAGGCTGAATTTTCTAGACCACACAAGTGGTCTAGAAACGAGCTTGTTTTAAAAATTTGGCTCAGAACTTGTGGCAAATATTTTCAATTCAACGTGCTATAAATATAATTCTTACTGCCTGGCACAATCCCATGGGAGCAGTTTGTGTGCTGAAGCCTATAGCAGACATAGAGTCCACGGACATTGTTTTATCTACCTTGTAAGCTCAGCCCATTTGCTGGATTGGGAAATAAAAAGGACTGAGTTTATCTTCCAGCCTTCTTCATTTAAGTGTCCTATATAGTCAATGATTTACACACTGTGCTCCTGTAGAAACGCTGGGGTCCTACCAACCCATTGTTCACAGACAGCAAATTCTGACTTGTTTTTCAGTAGAAGTGACACCCTGCCGTCAGTTCAACCGTCCCTTTCTTGTCCTGTCTCCCCCTGTGATCATCAGAGGCTCACATTTATGAGCCTTCTGGAGTCACAGAACAAGTGTGTGCAACTAACCAGCCCACCTGGACGTCAGACTTGCCTCGTGACCTTGGCTCAGGTTATGCTTAACAACTGGCAGAAAGGTAACTGCCAGAGCCGAGCTGGACATAACACACGATCCACAGCCCACAGCCAGGCGTGGCTTCAGCAGCCCCTGGACCCTGAGGGCATGGGGCCCATGCCGGGCTTTGTGGGCAGGATGTGTGCAGGGGGCCGGCAGCTGCTTTGTGCCAGCACAAGTGGGACAGCTGCAATGAATGGGCCAAAGAGCCACCTCAAAGGCACACTGTGCCCAACTTCAAACACACGGCCTTGCTGCGGACAGCTGAGGAACAGCAGCAGCGGCGGCAGCGGCAGTAGCAACAAACAGGCCGCCTGGGCCCAGCTTTAGGAGGGAGGGAGGGAGGGACTCCCCACTGTGCAGGGCAGCCCGCTGGCAGCGTTGGACAATGCCCAGTCCACAGCAGCTGCAACCGCCGGCCAAAAGCGATCTGCACATGCGATCCGACTGACCTCAGCTCAGTCAGAGTAAGGGACATCGATCTCTAAGGTCCCACCAGATTGTATCTGTAACGGGCGTACAGGCGATGTTGCTATGTTCTGGTTCTACCTACCTCCATTAGAATGTTTTCCGAATCTGCTAAGGACCACCGATAGGACCCCAGCTATGGAGCTGTCAGCGTAAATATAGAGGCTGGTTACATGGGCTCCTCAAACTCTCCCACCGTATAACCCTGCTTGATTCATTCCTGTTTCTTTCCCCGACGCCAGTGTCTCCAGGAGGAGTGGGCATCACAGGCGGCTGCGTGCTTATTACCCCCTCTTCCTGCCGTGTAGGGGTGGTGGAAGTTGTTGGGATAAGGCACACAGATGCTCCACCACTGAGGACGTCCTTTGATTGAATTGTATTAGTTCTCTCTAAATGGGTACTCCCCTTGCATCCTGTGCGTTACCATGCTGTTTATATTAACACCCAGCACTCAGCTCATCCATGATGAACGCTCAGAGAAAAGTGGGTGGGCTCAAACATAATTCGATCACTAAGAGCGAATGTTTAAGAGAGGCTGATACACTAATCGCTTAGTGATACACACACACCCCCCACCAGATGTTTGAAAGGAAAAAAGATTTTTGACTTCTCCCAAGGGATTGAGAAATAAATGTATGGGCAAGAGGTGTCTAGTCTACATATGCAGTTGCTGATATTATTCCACGACTAGTTTTCTTATTCATTTTTGTCACTATTGTTCTCACTTTGTTTTAAGGCCCCTCCCTCACCCTCTACCCACTGCCTTTTGTTCCCAGCCATACTGTACAACAATCTGAAAGTTTCAGGAGCATCTTACTTTACCTCTATGCCTGTGTCTAGTTCACCCTCGGTAAGGAGTAGGTTAATGGTCTGTTGTTAGAACTCAGAGACATAACACACTGCTGTTCTTCAGAAATTTTAGATGCAGAAGAGTTGGTTCCCAACAGTGAGAGCTAAGGGGTACTGCTCTGGGTTTCTTTTTCTTTCTTTCTTTCTTTCTTTCTTTCTTTCTTTCTTTCTTTCTTTCTTTCTTTCTTTTTCTTTCTTTTCTTTCTTTCTTTCCTTCTTTCTTTCTTTCTTTCTTTCTTTCTTTTTCTTTCTTTTCTTTCTTTCTTTCCTTCTTTCTTTCTTTCTTTCTTTCTTTCCTTCCTTCCTTCTTTCTTTCTTCTTTCTTTCTTTTTCTTTCTCTCTCTCCTTCCTTCCTTGTTTCTCTCTTTCTTCTTTTCTCTCTTTCTCTCTCTCTCTCCCTCTCTTTTCCCTCCCTTCCTCTCTTCCTCTCTCCCTTCCTTTCTTCCTTCCTTCCTCCCTTCCATCCTTCCTTCCTTCCTTTCTTTTTCTTTCTCTCTCTTTCTTTCTTTTCTTTCTTTCTCTCTCTCCCTTTCTTCCCCCTCCATCCTTCCCTCCTTCCCTTCCTTCCTTCCCTCCTTCTCTTTTTCTTATTGTAATAAACTATGCATAGCTTAAAAGTTACCGTTACCACTTTAAGTGTACAATCCAGTGGCATTAAGTACCTTTGTAATGCTCTGTAACCATCGCTATCTATATCCAGAGCTTTTTCAGCATCCTAAGTGGAAACTCTAGCCATTAAGCAGTAACTCTCCTCCCTCCCGCCCCCGATAGCCTCTATTCTTTCTGTCTCTTTGAACTTGCCTATTCTCGGCATTTGTGGTTTGTGACTGGCTTATTCCTTCTGGCAAATGTCTTCAAGGTTCACCCATGTTGTGGCGTGTGTCAGAATTTCATTTCTTTTTATGACTGAATAATATTCCAATAATATTATATCACATTTTATTGATCCATTCACCTGTTGATGGACAGGTTATTTCCACCTTTTGGTTGTTGTGAATAATGCTGCTGTACCTGTTTGCTTTTTGAGGATAAACAGCTTAGATCTAACTGGCACTGAAGATATCTGTTTAGGACACTGAGGGTTTTGGGGACATTTTTACCGTAATTCTAAGTACCCAGAGTCCTTGGGTGTATGCAGTTGCCTACTAAATCAACTTCGTACTGCCTTAAATTTCAAAAATTACTTTTAAGAAATCAGAGTACACTATATAATTTGTATCAAGATGTATTGTTACCAGAAAGGGGTCCAGATCCAGACCTCAGGAGAGGGTTCTTAGATCTCACACAAGAAAGAATCCTGGGCAAATCCATAAAGTGAAAGCAAGTTTATTTAAAAAGTAAAGGAATAAAGAATGGTGATTCCATAGGCAGAGCAGAGACATGGGCTCCTCAGTTAGGAACACTTACAGTTACTTCTTGATTATATGCTAAACAAGGGGTGGATTATTCATGAGTTTGCTGGGAAAGGGGTGGGCAATTCCCAGAACTGAGGGTTCTTCCCCTTTTAGACCATATAGGGTAACTTGCTGATGTTGCCATGGCATTGGTTAACTGTCATGGTGCTGGCGGGAGAGTCTCTTAGAGTGCTACTGCATTGTAATTAGGGTACAATGAGCAGTGAGGATGACCAGAGGTCACATTCATTGCCATCTTGGTTTTGGTAGGTTTTGACCCGCTTCTTCACCACAAACTGTTTTATCAGCAAGGTTTTTGTGGCCTGTATCTTGTGCCAGTCTCCTATCTCATCCTGTGGCTTAGAATGCCTTAACCTCCAGGGAATGCAGCCCAGTAGGCCTCAGCCTTATTTTATTCAGCACCTATTCAAGATGGAGTCACTCTGGCTCAGGCCTCTGACAGTATTAGTTACAATCTCACAATACCATGACTTTTAGATGGACCCAATAGCATAACAAGTAATATCCAGACATCAGACATAGGCCTAGAATGTTTTACAGAATAGCCAATTTGTACTGAAGCCATTGTTTCGGTAAAAATATCTAATTTTTTGAATGAATTACAGTTTGTCATGCTGTGGCCTCCATTGTGCATTCTGTGGTAGTTGTAATAGCACATCAGAGATGAATACAAGTTCATTTTTTATTATCGAAATTAAAAATAACCAGCTTTATCAATAGAAATTATACGTCTTTCAGGTGGAGTCATCAATAAGAAAAGTCGCTATTTGTTTTTTGGTTTTGTTTTTGTTTTTGAGACACAGTCTCACTCTGTCGCCCTGTCTGGAGTGCAGTGGTGCGATCTCAGCTCACTGCAACCTCCGCCTCCTGGGTTCAAATGATTTCCTTGCCTCAGCCTCCCAAGTAGCTGGGATTACAGGTGCCCACCACCACGCCTGGCTAATTTTGGTATTTTTTGTAGTGAAGGGGTTTCACCATGTTGGCCAGGCTGGTCTCCAACTCCTGCCCTCAAGTAATCCACCTGCCTTGGCCTCCCAAAGTGCTAGGATTACAGGCGTGAGCCACCGCACCCGGCCACTATTTGTTAATGCAGGGATTTTCTTCTCTAAAGCCACATCAGCTTTCATCTTTAATAAGTACATAGGTAATTTTGTCACATTTCTATCTACCTTGTCTACCTCCTCCCTCTCTCCTTCCCACCCTTCTTCTTCTCCTTCTCCTCCAGTCCTGCACTCCCAGCAAGTGGGAAGCAAAGTTTGTTTGCTGTGACTCTTATCTACCTGTAACTCTCCTTGTCCAAGAGATGTAGACACATCTGAGGCTCATTCAAAGTCAGAACTGTACTTGAAGGAGTTCTTTCCTGGGTTCCAGTCTAGGACAAGTTTCTCTTGGTAAGAAACCGGGCAGTGTTGTTAGCAGTCTGTAACCTCAGGCCCATTGCGGGTATATGGACCTTGGTTGAAATGCAGCAAAATCTGTTTTGCAGACAACACACAATTGCTGAAGGTGGTGAAATAGGGATAGTGGGTTTTCAGGCATGTACTTTACCTGTTAGTTTAGGGAGCTGAAGGCAAAACATGTTACACCTCTGTCTCCCTGGTGCCAACAACGGCCTGGCACAGTGCTGTGAATCCCTGTGTCCTGGGATTAGCAGCATGGTGCATTTGGGCTTGGAGACAAACAAGGCCAGAAATATCCAGAATAGAGGCCTTATTCTAATGCTGTCTAATTTGGAAGTCACGATTTTCATCCAAATTCAGAGTGAGAAGTCCTGTATTCCCAGCTCTGTGCCCAGATGCTGGGCCGTCGCTTCTCCATCCTCCTGGCTCTGCCCTGTGGAGTAGAGTTGTGTCTTCATACCTGACATTATTGAATGCTGGGATGTTCCAGGCACTAGTTCACAGCACTTCAAAATAATTCCACAGGGAAGTTATATTATTTTCATACCTAATTTTACCAAAGAGGAAACCAAAGCTTGGCCAGATGGACATACCTGTGGTTACCCAGATCACGGAGGGCAAAGGTGAAACCCAAGGCAGGTGTGTGTGACTCCAGAGCCTGCTATTCCAAAGGATCTGCTTGGTGGTGGCCGGGGCACCATCGTTGTGGCTCGTTGTAGATTAAAGGCCATTAGGAAAGGCTGTGCAAGTGTCTTTGAAACTGCGGACGCTGGTCAGATGCAACCTCTGGTTCCACTGTGCCCCTCCCCGAAATCTTTACCCCCACGTGGATGTCCCCCGAGTCTGAATGAAATGACAACCTACTTGGCAGAGACTCAGTTGATTTGGTCTTATGCCAGCACATAACTGGCCTCAGTTCTTGTCAGAGGAATGCTTGTCTTTGCAAGTTTTTTTGGTCCTGAGGACTTCCTAGTGGCCTGTCATCCCTGATAGAATTCTTGGGGTGCAAGGCATCCCTGTTAGTTCTGTGAAGGAATCCACACTGTGTAGGCCCTGTCAGCCCTCACTCCCTCCAGTGTCTGACACATCATGTTTCTTGAACATAGAGGTTCCTCGTTCTAGAAGCCACCTAATAGGCAGTAGGAAATAATCAAATAAAAAAAAGGCTGGATGTCCAGTTGAATGGAGCTCTTGGACTGAGAGAAACTGTACTTCTTAGAGCAGAAAAAAAATGCATAAACTTACTTGACTTCAAAGTCCTTTTCCTCGCTCTGCCTCCAAACCTGTGCTGGCGCCTGAGAGACCGAAATGGACGGTGTAGTCGTCATACTCAGTCTTCCTGCCTGCTCATCTACTTGGACTATGGAGTTAAAAAACCAGGAAGGACTGAAACCCACAAAAACCTCACCACACTCTTTCTAGTGCTGAGTAGTCTTAACTATGGAGTAATGAGGAGATGGGCACAAAAACTGTTTCTTTGAGCTCACTTCCTACAGCATAGACTGTCGAGGATTTTGTGCTTGCCTGTGTGTGAGTGTTTCTAAAACAGGGACAATGACGTTATTATTGTCTGATATTTGCATTCCACATACTAAAGTCAGTGACTTTGTCTCTTCTGATTGTTGGAAAGCTACTCCCACCAAGGTTAAGTGCAGTCCTTTGACCTGTAGCATTGTGGGTGGCCTGAGTGGGGACCGTGACCCAAGGTTTGCAGAAGGTGAAGGAATAAATAGGAAGGTAGGGGCCTTTGCTGAACTTAAGCTCAAAGCCCTCCAAAAAGAGGCCTCTGACGCATATTTCTTCCTTGGTTGATTAAGCATGGACAGGGGATTTATGGGAAAATGTGTGGCAACCAAGCAGCCATTTTCCATTTTTTCCTACCTATGGCCATGGCACAAGAATGGAGTGGGAGCAGGGATGTCCATAAATAGTCTGGCTTTGGTTTAACAGAGACAATTCCTTTCACAATCACAGCTTTAGCATGTGCTAAAAATGACAATGCCATCCAGTGTCAATTGTTCCAGGGAGACCCTTCATTCCTAGTTACAGCAATAAAACCGCTGGTGGGTGGTCGCTGCTACTGGTTGTCTTCATTATCATTTCATTGTGCTTATGTGAGGCCCGGTGCACTTTGGAACTCTCAGGCATCTTTAAAGCCTTTCATGCATTGGAGTGGCTTGACATTCATATTTATATATCTTGCTTGCATGGCAGCAGAATCGCTATTCTTAGGGTCCTCATCTTTTGTGCATTCAAGGTCACACCCCACTTACGTGGGAACTGTAATATACCCTGAGAACTTCAAGCATTGTAACTCAAATCTGCAATCCAGAGTCCTCTTGGGTGCTTAAAGCTCTGCCTCTTGATTCATAGTCAAAGTGAAGCCTAGAATAAGCTTGTTGAATTAAGATAATTTGTGTTTACTTTAGAAACTTTAACAGGTTTACCTTGGAAACTTTTGAAGTTTTGTCATCTTTAAGACATATCCCTCAATGTTGCATTTCTAAGCAAATGTCTGCTTGTCTAAATCAGAAACCTGGACATCACACCCAACTCTTTTTCCCTCAGTCTCTCTATATAGTGAGTCATCCATTGTGTTCAATTCTATTGATGAAGCATCGTTTGATCTCCCACCTTCATCCTCATCCTAAACCTCTAGCCTTGCTGCTCTCTGATCTGTCATCTATACTGATGTTACCGGAAAGGGTTCCCAATCCAGACCCCAAGAGAGGATTCTTGGATCTCACGCAAGAAAGAATTCAGGGCCAGTCTACAGAGTAAAGTGAAAGCAAGTTTATTAGGAAAGTAGAGGAATAAAGAATGGCTACTCCACAGACAGAGCTGCCCGAGGGTTGCTGGTCACCCATTTTTATGGTTATTTCTTGATGATATGCTAAACAAGGGGTGGAGTATTCATGCCTCCCCTTTTTTGACCATATAGGGTAACTTCCTGACGTTGCCATGGCATTTGTGAACTGTCATGGCGCTGGTGGGAGTGTAGCAGTGAGGACGACCAGAGTTGCTCTCGTCGCCATCTTGGTTTTGGTGGGTTTTGGCCAGTTTCTTTACTGCAGGCTGTTTTATAAGCAAGGTCTTTATGACCTGTATCTTGTGCCAATCTCCTATTTCATCCTGTGACATCAAATGGCTAACCATCTGGGAATGCAGCCCAGTAGGTCTCAGCCTCATTTTACCCCACCCCTATTCAAGATGGAGTTGCTCTGGTTCAAATGCCTCTGACACTGATGCCAGAGTCAATTTTCTGCAATATAAGCCTAATTATGCTGGGTTCCCCACGGCCTTCAGAGTAAATGGCAACATCCTTAGTAGCCTAGAAGAATCTTCATTGCTTGGTTTCTACCTCCCTCAGTTTCTCCCAGAGGCCCACACCCATGTTCCCTACAGCCAGGTGTCCAAAAGGGCCTTATTCCCTGACACATCCCATCCTCAGCCTCAGTTCCTCCTTATTTGGGAGTGCATTTTTTCCTCCTCTTCTCTTAGCTAACTTCTATTTCTTCATGAAAACTCACCTTAAGTATGTTCTGCTCCCAACACCTTTCCTTTTGGAGCCCACCAGGGCTGAATTCGGCGCCCCTCCTCTACCCTGATCTGTGACCCTTGACATGCTCTGTACTCTGCCCAGCCGGTGTGGCCCCCGGATTGCCATTGTGGATTTGCTGGTCTCTGTTTCTCATGGACCGTGAAGTCCTAGAGAGTGGGAACAGTCTCTTTTCTTTCTCTGCCTCCCTAGAGATTCCATAAGGCTGACCCACAGAGAATGGGTAAGTTATTGTTGGACACATATCAGATAAATGCTGCTAAATTACACATGAAATGATCCTTCAAGGTGGTAGTATAGATCAAGAGTCTGAACCCAGTAGAGTAATAAAATAGCTTCTTGTTATCACTTGAAATTATATAAGCAACAACTGAAATTCTAACCAGGAGCTCTGAGCGCTGCCGTTGGGAGGATTCCTGCTAGGGACATCTCACTGCTTCTGATGGCTTAGGATTTGTTGGGCCACTGTTTCCCTGGGCACATGTTGGTTTATTTGCTTGCTTTTATGGTTCGTTTGCCATTTCCCTCATAAGGAGATGAGCCGTGCATCAGGATCTTTCCTTTCTCCAAGGCCATCAATGATTCACGTGAGAATTTCATACCACATGGCAGAATCGTTCACATTAGAGTCCTCCACAGGCCAAAAGGAAATAGTATATTCAGGGCTCATCCTTTGCATAGAAAGAACTCTGTTCACCAAGGCATTTTAAACCTGGGATTTAATCAGTTACTTTGCGAAAACTGAAATGATGTCCTTCCCCCATTTCTGAGAGCGAATTTGAGATTAGGCTGGGTGATATATCATGAGAAAAAAAGAACAGAATGAATGGGGATGGCCTGAAGCTCAGGTGGGTAATTTCCCAGCATCTTCCCCATGCTGCTCCCTGGGGCTTCCCAGGTAAACTGTGCACTGGCTTCCAGCAGCCTTTCCCTGGTCTCTAGGTGGCCTTTGTTTAAGCATTACATGGATGTTTGCAAGATTATTCAAGTGATTTCCCACAATTTATTTCAAGCATTTACTGTAGGTGGCTTCAGAATTTTAAGTAGCATGTAAACTACAGACCACCTGCCTCAATGCACCATATCCAGCATCGGTTTTATATCCTAACAAGACGGGATAAGGCACAGTTCTTGAACTGCTGCCAACTCTCCAGAAAGGCACTGGGTACATCGGAAATGCCTTCCGGGGGCCTCCTAGCACTGTCCGGAGCATTTGTCCTTCAGAGCCTGGCCCCAGACCTGTTCCTCTCCCCATAGCTGGGTTCACCAAAGGCACTTCCTGATAACTGTTCCAGGACTCAACAATCAAAAATGAAAAAAATCAGAGAATGTTTTAAAGCCCAAGGATATAAAGTACTAAGACTCTTCTAAAACCTGATTGTCCTTCTCCAGTGTGGTAAGCAGGCTCTGACTCACTTCCCTCCTAGATAGGATTTCCTCCTGTGTATACTCCCAGAGCTAAGAGATTCTTCGAATGCCTTTGCCATTACCCGCATTTCTTCAGTTTGCATCTCTGAATATTCTTAGGCTGTGCTGAAGGTGTTTCTAGCCACATGACACTATCTTCATCGCTTTTGGCATTATCCATATTGGCCTCTCCTCTGGGGTGGTCCCTGGGGATTGGTGGCCCCTCACCTTACATAGGTGTCACTGGGCATGGATATGGTTGTCTCATGTCTAGGGTGCTCCATGGTCAGAGCAGAGCTCCCACATCCCAGGCAGGTCTGGAGCAACCCCCAAAACAGAGCGGGCTCTTGTGCCTTCAGGAGGTATCAATGACATCTACTGTCAGTCTGAACAAAAAGCTACCCTTTGGAAAGAGAGCAAACCAAATTCATACGAGCTCACAGAACTCTCTCCACTAATCATGCACTTTGATTAAGTGTTCTCACATGATCAATGCTGAGTGAAACTTTAGACCCTACTAAAGCCTCTCAAAGACGCAGTCCCTGTGCTCCAAACACCTGTTCTTGCTAATGAATCATCGTGAAATGCAAAATCAATCCTATGCAGATACATTGATGGCCTCTTAATATTTTTACCCTAGCCTTGTAGGGCAGTGCATTGGGTGCTTTTTGATGTTTTCATGAGTTTGAGTATTGCTAATGCTGATCATTACATTAAAGAGGAGCATTCATTGGATTAAACCTTACAACGTTTTTGTGTGGTAGATGGGAAGAAACATAATCTTAGCTTTTAGCCTGTGAGGTATTATAATCTCACATTACCATTGAGGGAGATAAGGAGCAAACATAAAAAGCCAAACAAACAAATGCTATCATTTCAGGTACTTCTAAGTACACTGAGGAGATAAAATAGGGCCCTTATATAAGACAGGGAACCTGGGGACTGGGATGGAAGACAGGGCACTGCTTAATCAACAGAGTGAGGAAGGCATGCGTCTCTAAGGAGATGCCAGAATGAGAGGCAGGGGCCACACAAATTCCTGGGGAAAGAGTGCCCCAAACAGCAGGATAGCAGGTGCAATGGTGTTAAGATAAAAATGGCTGTGGCTAAATGGACAGTATGACTGTAGTGCAGAGGGCGAAAGGGAGAAGGGTCCCTAGTTAGGTGAGAGGAGAAGGCAGGAGCCAGAACACGGAGGCCATTTCAAATTTTATTTTAAGCATCATTGAAAGACATCAGCAAAGTTTAGGCAGGGGAGTGATATCATCTGATTTATGCTTTAGAAAAATCACTGTATCTGCCCTGTGTAAGATGGACTGTAGGATGCAATGAGGAGATGAGAACAGGTTAGGAGCAACAGTTCATAGGAGAAATGATGGGACCTGGGACCTGGTTGTTGCAGTTGAGGTGGTGAGCATTGGTCAGCTTGGGGATGTACTTTGCAAGTAGTGTTGACAGGATGTACTCATGGATTGGGTGTAGACTCCAAGGGAAGGAGAAGAATCAGTAACAACTCCAAGGGTTTTAGTCTGAGCAATTGGGTGGACAATGATGCCACATACTGAAAAGGGGAAAGCTCAGTTGGGATGGGAAGAAGTGATCTGAGGGCAGAAAAAGATGAAGGTTTCAGCATTGACACTGTTGGTTGTGGGGTGCCTCACTTAGTCATCTAAGCAAGGATGCTTAGATGAGTATGTGAATCTGGAGCTCAAAGGCATGTCAGGGCTGGATAAATAAATGTGATGGTCAACAGCAAGGAAATATGTCTTAAATCTATGGGACTGGATGAGATCATCTTGGAAGGATGTAGATAGATTAGAAAGTCAAGAATGGAGTCTTAGGATACCCCAACATTTAGAGAAAAGTGACAAGGAGGCGCCATTAGGAGAGCTGAACACAGAGCCAGTGACGTAGAATAAGAACAGCTTCCACCTGAGAGAGCCGCAGGGCCAGGAGGTCCTTACAGCGCCTCCAGGGGTCAAAGAGCAGGGAGGGAGTGGATGGGAGCTTTCAGATGGGGAAAGAGGAGAGAAGAGGCAAGTTTCTCAGTGTCTACTAGACCATCTCGGTGGAGTAGCTGGGGCATACTCTGACCTTTTTCTCCAGTCTCATCGGGGCTGTCTATCTGGGAGATACAAACCTTCACAACACTCCACAGTGTTGCTTGCTCCACTTTGCTTGTGTGTGTGGGTTCTGGGACTAGGGACCAGCAGTGCCAGTCCCCTCAACTCACCATCAAGATGAAACATCAGGATATCAAATGGCCCTGAGAGGTTTTTCATTATAAACCATGCCACAGGCTGTCTACAAAATGCTGTAATGTGAAACTCAACATACTATTAAAAACCCAACCAAGGCCGTCATCAAGGAAGAGAAACATCCAGTGGGATGCTGGAGCTCTGACAGCCACCTCTCTGACCAGACCCCTTTCTGAGAACTGATTCTAATCACCATAACTCAAATATCACATTTTCCAAGAATTCCATATAAAAAAGAAGAAACCCAGAACCTATTAGGTTTGAGGTTAGGAAGTTGAATGTTCTAGATGGTTCTGGGCCTATCTAGCAAAGGAGACACGTCATTTTTCAAAACCATCCCCCCTTATTGTTTTGTACAGTTTTGTTTTGTTTTGTTTTGAGAGAGGGTCTCGCACTGTCACCCAGGCTGGAGTGCGGTACTGCAATCATGGTTCACTGCAGCCTCGACTTCCTGGGCTGAAGCCATCCTCCTACCTCAGCCTCCTGAGTAGCTGGGACTATAGGTGCACCACTACACATGGCTAATTTTTCTTTTTATTTATAAAAATTATTTAAAATAGTATTTATTTATATTTTGTAGGGACAAGGTTTCTCCATATTACCAAGGCTGGTCTCAAACTCCCGGGCTCAAGCAATCCCCTCATCTTGGCCTCCCAAAGCACTGAGATTACAGGCATGAGCCACCGCACCAGGCATGTAGTATTTTTGTTAGAATGGTAATAGTCACAGCTCAAGCCTAAATGAGGAATCTCAAGGTCATCGTGCCTGGATTCTAATGTCTGTGATAATAATGATGTGAAACTAGCTACATTTCATTGATAAGTTGTCATGACAAGTCCAGAAGATCTTAAACTGACATAACATTTTCAACGGACAGAAGAAACCAAGTGGCAGAATTTTTGAGGAAGCATTTATTCCTAGGAGGAGTATACAAAGTGTTAGTATAAGGGAAATAGTTTATTCTATTTTTTGTAGCAAAATACTGTAAAAATATTATACTAATACTGATATTAGTAAAAAATGGACTTCAAATGAAAGTGATTTCAATAGTATAATTGAGCATATATACATAATTAGATCTGTTTTCTCAGTTAAACCGATGGATACATTCAGACAAATGACCAATTTAGTCAAACATTTAACCAAAAAGAAAATAAAATGAATTTCTAGTTGTTTGAGTGAAAGTATTTGGTTAATTGAGTCCAAACAAGCACATCATCATGGTGGAAGTATCTGCTTGCTCAATAAAGATAAAAAAATGTTAGTTTACATTAATTAGATTAGATTTATTTAGACTAATGAGTGGGAGTTTGATGATGTTGAATGTCAGCTTACTAGTACAAACTTCTGCTACTATAGAAAGCGATAGGATATCAGAACTGGGAACCAATGTAAAAGTAATGGGCACTTGACATTTGTAATGATTTTTTAAAAAGAAGAGTTCATGAAGCTAATTAAGTAATGTGATCTGAGAACAGTGTTCTTCTGCCCAAGGTTACCATGGGTATGAAAATCTAAGAGAGCTCAGATGACAAGACAAACGCCATATTGCCTGTTTCCCCCATGAGTTAGTCATGTTTCTGTGGCAGTGGTGGGATCTTATAGTTCTTTTGTGTTTTTTGTCACATGTGCAAGAATAACAAGAGTAAATATTCGTAAGAACCCTTTGCTACATCTGGGTCTATTAGAACTTAATTTTCTCAATCTCTCTGGAAGTTTACAGCTCGAGTAAATAGATAACTTTGGTGAGTAAAAGGGGTATGAAATCTACCATTTGATAAATTCAGGGGAAGAAATTATTTTCCATGTTCCACAGGTAAATTTCAAACATAAGAGCATTTAAGAAGCCATTGGAATTTAGGAGTGAGGTAAAAACCTGTGTGAGCACGTCTAGGGAAACCCAGCTTTTGGGGATTTGAAATAGAATTGCTTTTTTTTTTTTTTTCCTGAGACAGAGTCTCACCCTGTTGCCCAGGCTGGAGAGCAGTGGCACTATCTTGGCTCACTGCAGCCTCCGCCTCTTGGGTTCAAGCGATTCTCCTGCCTCAGCCTCCTGAGTAGCTGGGACTATAGGCGCACACCACCATGCTTGGCTAATTTTTTTGTATTTTTGGTAGAGACAGGGTTTCACCATGTTGGCCAGGATGGTCTCTATCTCCTTACCTCGTGATCCGCCCACCTCAGCCTCCCAAAGTGCTGGGATTACAGGCATGAGCCACCGCGCCCGGCCTCATTTATCACTCTTAATTGCACAAAAAGGTATTATAAGCCTTGATTACCTGAGATTGTTGTCTGAGTTCTTCCTGTTTTCTTAGAGATATCTGCCATAGTATTTTTTTCAATCCCAAATAGAGCTTGTGAAGGAACTTTGTTCACTTAAATGACATGTAAGGCTTTGATATCTGAATGCAGCTTTGACCTCATGGGCTCAAGTGATCCTCCCACCTCAGCCTCCTGAGTAGCTCGGACCACAGGCACAAGCCACTGTGCTCAGACAATTTTTTAAATTTTTTGTAGAGACAAGGTCTCACTACATTGCCCAGGCTGGCCTCAAACTCCTGGACTCAAGTGATCCTCTCACCTCAGACTCCTAAAGTGCTGGAATTATAGGCGTGAGCCACCGTGCCTGGCCTGAATGTATTTGTATCATCATCTCTTTCTTATTTGAAGGCATACAGAAACAATAAAGTAATGGTTGTCTATTCCAGTTTGGTTGCATAGCATGAAGAGGCAGCAAGCCTACCCAAATGAGACATATACAGGTTGAAATCCTACGGTTTCTTCACCTATTAAATGGGGAAGATAATCCCTAAGTCAGAGGTTATGGTGAAGATCACCTAAGATAAAGCATGCCCAGTCCCCTAACACATAGTTAAGTGTTTAATAAATGTTAATAGCATCATTATGATCTAAAACCAACTTATGTTCTATTATAACAACCTTCTAATGGGTTCCCTGCTTCTATTCTTACTCCTCTACCCAGTAGTCAAAGTGACCTTTTTTAAACATATAAATTAATCTTGTAGTTCCCCTACTTAAAACTACCAATGGCTTCTCATTGCTGTTAGAATCAACTCCAAGTCTTTTCCCGTGAGCCACAATGATGCAGCAAGCGCTATGTGACCTAGCCCCTGCCGAGCTCTCCATCAGGGTCCTTACCGCTCTTCTCCTAGAGCTCTAGTGGCATATCTAATGTCTTTTCGCACCTCAAATGTGCAAAGACTATTCCCCAATACTGCCTTTGCCTTGGCTACTTCCTCTTCTAGGCCTTCCTAGATCATAGCTGGATCTTTTCTGTAGTTTCAGTCTTAGATCTAATGTCATTTCCTTGAGTGATCCTTCCCAATCAATCTCTTCCTCCACCCCCAGCATGACTGAGGCATAACTGACAAATCAAAATTATATATATATATATTCAAGGTATATAATGTGATATTTTGATATATGCATACATTGTGAAATGATTGCCACAATCAAGCGAATGAATGTATCACCTCACACAGTTACCTTGTGTGTGTGTGTATGTGTGTGTGTGTGTGTGTGTTAAGAATACTTAAGATCTGCTCCCTTAGTGAGTGTTAAGTATGTAATATATTATTATTACCTATAGTTGCCATGCTATACTTTAGGTCTCCAGGACTTACTCAGTTTATAACTGCAAGTTTGTACCCTTTGACAAATGTCTCCCTATCTACCCCACTCCCCAACCCTTGCTAATCACCCTCCTACTCGGTTTCTAAGAGTAAAACTCCTTTAGATTCTACATAGAGGAGAGATTGTGCAGTATTTATCTTTCTGTGTCTGGCTTATTTCACTTAGTATAATGATCTCCAGGTTCATTCATGTTGTTGCAAATGGCAGGATTTCCATCTTTTTCAAGGCTGAATAATATTTCATTGTACATGTGTATGTGTATGTATATCTGTGTATATATATACACACATACATATATGTATAGATACATATACAAAAACATATATGTATATATATACACATACATACACACATAACATACATTAACTACAACACCATTTTTGCCAAATGGGAAATATATTTAAATTATGGAGTCTGTGTCTGCCTAAAAATAAATTGTCGTCTTTTCTGGTCAATGTATAGGTCTAGGATATGGACATAGACACACACTGCGTTTCTTCCTCCATCCATCCATTGACAGTTAGGTTGGGTCTATATTTTGGCCATTGTGAATAATGCTGCAATGAAAATAAGAGTGCAAATATCTCGTCAAGATAGTGATTTTATTTCCTTTATATATATACCCAGAAATATTACCAGTCTTAAATAGCTCTCTTCTTACCCCACAAACACCTTTATCAAATCGCAGTTTCAGTTTTCTAATAGCACTATCACTATCTAAAATTATCTTGTTAACTGATTTGATAATTTTTTTTCCCAGTATCCCCTAGTAGAAAGTAAACCCCATGAAAGCAGGATTTTGTGTTTAACAAGTAATAGGTATTCAATAAATAGCTATTAATAAATGAATCAGGAAGAGGGCAAATGCACTCAAGAAATATCATGAAATAGATAATAATCTTTAGAACATACTAAATTATATTTTCATTAAGGTATAGGTGTGTATGTGTGTGTGTGGCATAGAATTTTATAGTTGATCAAAGTGATAAACAAAATCAATGGTGACGGGGTTTCATAATTCTAAGAAAACTGGAAAACCCTTCCCTAGAGGCCAGAGTCTCAGGGAACATTAATGGGAGTGATCTGGCTTTAATGTGTATGCTCAGTTTGGAGTAGATTAAGACTTCATGTCCACCCTTCTTTCTAGCCATGCTGTAATCCCATACTCACAGGGACAATGAAATGGTACAGGGGAGAAGGCACCCGGAATTTCCTTGTGCATGTTCATTTCCTCAGGGTCTGATTCACTTAAAAGACAAAAGAAATGGGAGGTTTTATTGATCTGAGGAAGCCTGAGCTCTCCAGTGTTTCTGTCTTTCCAGGTAACCACACAGCCTCATCCTGGGGAAGCGAGAAATGGTAACACATAACTGGCCACCGTCCAAGCTCCTTAGAATAGAAGTTCATGGGAGGAAGCATCCACATGTGCACTCACATCTTCAGAACGCTGCGCCTCCTGCCCCCAAACACACTGACCTCTGCCTTTTCAAAGGCAAAATTTGATCCATTAATGTTCCCCAGTGTTGGTTTCATAAAGCGTTTGGATGGGCCCTTCTTCACAAATGAATAAAAATGAGTAAAGTCCTCAGAATCAAAGGAAAGCCAGGACTGGCTTCCAGAAGCACGAGGCAACCCAGAGAGTCCATCTGCAGCCAAACCATGCAACAGACCCAGCCACAGCTTAGAGGCTGGCAACAAGTCTGCCTGCAGGATCTGCCAAGGAACCAGATGCTGTTGCTTCCAAAGCTTGGCATCAGGGCCCCTGATTGCCATCCAACAAAGAGGAAAAATAGGAATGATATAATGTGGTGGGATAAAACACATCCCACCTCAACCTTTTTTATTACTCACTGAAAAAAAATATGGAAGATATTTATGGGAAAGTACCAATGTTTTTGGAAATATTGTACATACATTAGCTACAACACCATTTTTGCCAAATGGGAAATATATTTAAATTATGCAGGCTGCGTCTGTCTAAAAATAAATTGTCATCTTTTCTGATCAATGTATATGTCCAGGATATGGAAATGACTCTGCTGATTGAGGATGCTGTCAACCAGTGCACTTGTAAGTTACCAGGAAGTAAAGTTGTGAAGAAGTCAGTCTGTGTATGTGCATAAAATAGCAATTAATGTTGTTGTAATAGAAAGTGAGTTTCAGGAAGATTGGGCTTTGAAAAAGAACTATCCAGTGAAGGTGGAGTGTTGAATTTCATGGTTCTGCAAAGTATTAGGAGTTCTGTGAGGCTGGATGAGATAAGATGTTTATGAAAAAGTAGAATGTAGTGAAGAGCTGTACGTGCCAAGGCTCCAGGGTGGTATTAATAACCCACTATATGTGACAAAGTACTGTGCAAAGTACTGCTATGTATTGAAAATTCATTGTCATTTCTCTTCCTCCGGGTTTGCAATAAGCAAACTCGTGTCAGTCTGATACTTGTGAAATTTCTATTGTTTTGAGAGTGACTCAGGATTCTCCATCTAAAAATTGGAAAAATAAGGTGGCATAAGTGTTTGCCTCTTCGTTGTCAGATGAGATGAGGGGTCTGACTGATACCAATGTGCTTCCACTTTTCCCTGGATCCACGCTCACCTGAGATTCCACCCTCGAAGTCACCACAGGCTTCGGCAGTGCCACGAGAGTTGATTCCAGGAGGCTTCAGCTGAAATCCATATCACTTCAGCACATGATCACGGGCAAATTTGTCATCTTAGCTCACTGATAGGCATTTGAAAACAGGAGACAGTCTGTGAGTGACCAAGGAGACTGTGAGGGCTTTGGACAAGCCAAGCCTAGAGCCCATGACCGATGAGGAGTTGAGGGGGCAATGCTGTGGTCAAGGTGGGACACTTGGAAAAACGTCCCCTTCTCCACTGCTTTGCCAGGTTATTGCACATTCTGTCTCTAAACTGAGAATCTAGCAAAATACCTTAAAAAAAAGTTTTTGGTCTAAAATGCATTTGCTTTCTAAGTCGCCCATTTACATGTGAACAGTTGCAATTCAAATATCATTTCTTAACCCCAGATCCTTGGGTTCCTCATATGAATTTAAAAAATAAAAAAAGACAATCAATTTGAATAGCATACAAAGATCATTTCAGAAAGGAATGATGAGATTTTAAATTTTTTTATTTTTATTTTTTGTATTTCATGCAACTCCCACACTTCGCAGAAAGAAATGTGGTTGAAAAAAATATATAGCATTTTCATGTAGAGCTTTCAAAGATCTTAAGTCCCTGGACCCTATTTCAGAGAAAAGTATTGCCTTAAAGGGCAGCCTGAAGGGCCTGGATTCACTCACCTGCCCCTCATGGAGCAACTAACGCACACAGACTCAGACACTTGTCCACAAGAGCCCACACACACTTCAAACAAAGACACAGAGAGATTAGTAGACACTTCTTGGTTTCCAGGTCTTGAAAAAAGAAACTACCAGGGCCTTCTGCTTAACAGCTCTGAGGATGCCGATTGCTGGAACAAGGCAAGATTATACCGATCTCTTACAGGTAAGAAAACAATTGAGACAATGTTTTATCCACAATTTGACCTTCTTATTATTTGCACCACTTCACATTAGTCCCCCCCAAAAGAGGAAAAGTGTTTTCTATCTTAACACCAGCCAGCAAAACCATAGAGGTTTACAAAAATATATTTTTAGTACATTCCCAAATTGGAGCAGGAGGTCAGGTCAAGCTCAGGTTAAAAATGTTATGATATAAACACAAATTCATCACTGTTCCAGTCAGCAGATCATACATTCCAGAGTGGCAGGCAAGGACCATGATTTGTGTCACTGCAGAGAATGATAAATCACTGTGGAAGACATAACAACCAGAATCGTCGCCACCATGTAATAGATCATGATGCACCCCGATCTTTTCCAAACGTTATTTACAGTTATCAGGGTTGAGGACAGCAAAGCACAAATGGATATTAATCTTTGCTCTCCCAGGGCTCGGCCGACTCAGGGTTCCTGTCTCTCAGACTCTGCCCATCATTTTCAGCAATGTGATAAGCTCTAGTTATGTGCAGTCTGTCCAAAAGGGATCAAATATAAATATTTCCAAAAAGAAAGAGTGTTTCAAACCCCATCAATCAAAGCCTTTGAGAACTCTGTTACTGTAGCATTCTGGAAAGGACTGCAATGTGAGAATTTGTTCCAGAAAGGAGCTACTGAAGTAAATGAATGAGGCCACGTTATAGAAAGAGGAGGGAGGTTGGGGTGAGGGTGGGAGGCTGGGCAGAGCTGGCCCCCAGAAAGCTGGAGCAAAGTGGCTTACCTAACCCACAACCCTGGCGCATGAACTGGAGACCTTTTCTTTAATGCCTATAATAGAACTGCTATTTTATCTTTATATACCTTCAGCTTTCCAACTGTACAAATTAAAGAGATGCCTGTTCCCCTGACATCCAACATATGACCTTAGGTTAGAACTATGTTCACACCTTCTCAGTCCTAGACCCTGTCACTTTTGGAGGTCCCAACCCCACTCGATATCACACGTATTAGAATCTACTTCCATCCCGCATTAAATATAGAGGGTATTTTTTTTTTGCTATAAAAATAAATTTTAAAATTATGATTTTGCTTTTGAAATTTTTTGGCTATGAATAATTTAAATCATGATTGGCAGTGGTTTCCTGGCAGTTCTTGTGCCTACTTAGGAATTCTTGCCTGCAAGACAGAAAAACCTATACATTGTTTTCAAGTGCAGTGTCATTTTTATTAATACTGAATTTAGCAATCGAGATAGCCATAATGCCATTTCTGCAAATAAAATATGTATTAATTTCAATTGTATAGTTTTCTTTTGGGGCCAATAAATGTTTCAATTCTCAAATAATTTCATAGGCCCCTTAATACCTTGTTGCCTAATGGAGAAGCATTGTGTGTTGGTGGTGAGGATCCCATTCATTAGACCCTGAATTCCTGGGACCTAAGTTCCTCCCCCCCGCCCCACCCCCCCTCCCTGGCTATCTGGTATCTCTGTATTTCCCTCACAATAGAGCACACAAAACTCATTTAGGTGCCCAAGGAAGCTGTCCTGTGGTGGAGGGAGCATCAGGGCAGTCCAGAGTCCACAGTCCACAGTCCACAGTCCACAGTCCACAGTAGAGATCTGTTGCAAGGATGATCCCAAAGACTCAAAGAATAAGACCATCCCCTTTATGTGCTCCCAATTTTTGATCTCCTTTTCAATAGACCTTTAACCCTTGAGATGACAGTCTCTCCTGACAAAGGCCCTATCCTTTCCCTTTCGAGACCCAAGGCATGCTTTTGAATCTATGCTCTGTCTATTGGCTCAGCAGTAAGTTTCCTTAGGAGTTAGGCCCTAGGTACACCCTTTCCAACATTTCTAACCGTGATAGAAACCAAGAGAATATGCAAATACCTCCTC
Source organism: Homo sapiens (assembly GCF_000001405.40). NCBI lineage: Eukaryota > Metazoa > Chordata > Mammalia > Primates > Hominidae > Homo > Homo sapiens. The sequence goes on from NC_000001.11 coordinate 244,175,499, forward strand.
CTCAGCTCAATTTGGGGAGGGTGTGTATATGTGTGGGGGGAGTGTCTCCCTGATTTATCTCCCTGCTTTCATCTGCTTTCAGACCAGTGCAGAGAGATATAGCCTGTGAGGTATATTTTAACTATTCCTTCAGTTAAAATAGGCAGGACTAAGAATTCTTTTTTCTGCCTTTTTCTTATCTTTGATTACACTGGTGGGGTTCTTTGTCCCTTTCTGTGCTGCGGAGGCGCCCTCTTGGATCAGCCCCATCCTTCCTGCCTTGGGCAGTCCCTTTAGGTTGTGACTCTGACCCTGTAGGTTTCCCCTCAAATCATCCAGAGTTGCACAAATCACATCTTGGCTTTACATCACTCTCTTCCCTCTGCACATCGCTCTACCCTCTGCACATCACTCTCCCCTCTGTGCATCGCCCACACTCAGCCCAGCAGACATCTCGGCATGAATAACCACACCATGACAAGATCTCCTTTCACAAAGCTTGGTTTACAAAGACCAAATCACAGGTAGCATTTTAAAGGCAACTCTCCATCACTTCAACTATGACTTCTAAAATACTCAAGATAACAGGTTTATGTTTTACTTTCTCTTAGCGTTTTGCCACCTTCCTGGTCATTCCTAGTAAGTCTCTTGGTCCAGCTGTTACCTTCTCCCAGAAGCCCCTCCTAACACCCTGTTTGCAATCACCGCGGTCACCACTGCCTTCCAGTATTCTTGCTGCTAACTTTGTTCTGTTTTTTTTCTCTTTAAATAACTTGCCACTTTTTCACCTACAATGTGATTTACTTACTTATTATAATGTTGTAATGCATATTTTTAAAGTCCCCTCTCCAGAACGTAAGATTTATAAGTACAGGAATTTTTGTCCGTTTACTCTCTGATACAGAACAAACATCTAGAACATTTCATGGCACGTAGTAGATACTCAACAAATATTTGTTGAACAAATAAATGAATGATATTTCTTCCAGCCCTAAAGTCAGGGTCTTAGGTAAAAACCTCTCCTAGCTGGTGCTGTAGTTTCTTGATTAAATACTACCATTTATAAAGGTATTCAAGGTGTCTCATCTGAAAGTTTCCTGAAAACTGGTAGGTCCTTTTCTTCCTGGTCCGACCCTTGCAGTGCAGCCATCTCATTAGTTGTGCGAACATGGCAGATGAGAGAACAGTTATCATCCAGTCAGGGCTTAGGGATGTGTGGTACAGAAATGGAATTCCTTGTGTCTCAGAAGCCTTGTGTATTGAGCAAGCATACCCAATAGGCCCCCGACATCACCAGAACATGTCTTTGTTTAATTGGGAGTTCACTAATAACAGGACTGAATGTGACAAATATAATGACACATTTATTTTGTCAAAATGCTCTTCTACAGCGCACCACAAACAAGTTACAACTATACCTATGAAAGAGAAGTCAAACCTGAAGAGACAAAATGTGGGAAAGATCCCATCTGTTTTTACTTTGCTTCAAAAGGCAGAACTTAAACCAACAGGTAGATACCTCAGGAAGGTGTTGGAGTACGAGGAAGAACATTCTTACAATTAGACCTATTCGGACATGAAATGGTTGCCTTGAATCTGGACGTCTCTGGTCCCTGGAAGAGTCACTCCGGAGCTGAACGTCACTGGTCAGGGACACTCTGAAGAGCTTTCCCAAAATGAGTGAAGGGTCAGACAGAGCAACCTTGGAGGACTAAGTCTATGAGACCATGGATTGCAATGACTCAGTTCCTTGATAACCACCCTCCTACTCTCTGTTTCTATGAGTTCGACTCTTTTAGATTCTGCACAGAAAAGAGATCGTGCAGTATTTTCTTTCTGTACCTGGTTTATTTCACTGAGTATAGTGTCCTCCAGGTTCACTCACGTTGTTGCAAATGGCAGGATTTCCAATTCCTGGTCCTCTCCTCTCCTCTGAAAACCAGGAATATTACCTTAGCTGGGAGATGAGTAAACTGAGGCATGAGAAAACTGAACAGATGACCCGAATTTTCACAGTGAAAACTCATGAAAAGAGCATCTATTTTTCTTTCCTTCGCATCTTTCCTTCTTTCCTTCGCATCAGATATAATTAACTTTCAAAGTGAAACGTATCAATCAAACATGAAGGGCAAGGCAGAAATGTTTCCATATTCCTTCTACTCGGATAAAACAGAATCAGCTCCTAGCCTTCAAAATTCACTTCACAGAATCCAGAATGAAGTTGAAGTAACCTAATGGGAATTTGTGCAACTTGTTTTTTGTTGTTGTTGTTGTTTTTTGAGACACTCTGTGGCTCAGGCTGGAGTGCAGTGACACCATCTTGGCTCACTGCAGCCTCCGCCTCCTGGGTTCCAGCGATTCTCCCGTCTCAGCCTTCCGAGTAGCTTGGATTACAGGCACGCGCCACCACACCCGGCTAATTTTTGTATTTTTAGTAGAGATGGTGTTTCACCATGTTGGCCAGGCTGGTCTCGAACTCCAGACCTCAAGTGATCCGCCCGCCTCAGCCTCCCAAAGTGCTGGGATTACAGGTATGAGCCACTGCCCCAGCCCACCACCATTTTTAATTGCCTCTCAGAGTAGTCAAAAACATTCCAAAAGGGAGAAGATAGGGAACAGATAAAGTGAGTGCCAGAGGGGTTCACAGGAGCAGCATAGACTCATAGGCTGAAAGCCTGAAAGAGCGCTGCCTCTGAGCATGAGATGACTTAAAAACTTAAAGTACTGTTCAGGAACAGTGGCTCACGCTTGTAATCCCAGCTCTTTAGGAGGCAGAGGCAGGTGGATCATGAGGTCAGGAGTTTGAGACCAGCTTGGCCAACATGGTAAAACCTTGTCTCTACCAAGAATACAAAAATTAGCCGGGCGTGGTGGTGGCCGCTTGTAATCTCAGCTAATCATGAGGCATAAGAATCGCTTGAATCCGGGACGCAGAGGTTGCAGTGAGCTAAGATCCCACCCCTGCACTCCAGCTTGGGCAACGGCGGGAGACTCCGTCTCAAAAAAAGAAAGTAACCATTTTGCAACCCCTGAAGAAATAACTGACTTGGGTAAAGACAGTCAAAAACTTTAAGTGATAGCCAATACCATTAGCATGATGCTTCTCAGATAGATGCTCAGATAGTAGTTACCATCAGCACCCTTTCCCCTAAGCTCTGAAGGAGTCATTCAAACGGTTCGTGTTGAGCCTATCTGTAAAGCTAGACTTGTGTCCCATTAAAAGTTGCATCTAAGGAATCCGATAATCAGTTTCAAAACACCCAAAGACTACAGCTGTGGCCACCGCTCACCTGCCTGCTCCCGGATGGAGGGACAAGGGCGGGAAGATTTGAGGGGAGCTGTGTGTCTTCCAGGCTCCAGGAACTCTTAGTCTGCTCCACGACGGGAAAACAGGAAGTTGGCAGAGGCTGGAATTGTGTAGATTTTAGTTTCAGAATTGGAAGGGGCGATACAATTTATTACTCTGTACGTGCTAGATATTTTCAAGTGAGTCAAACTTCATGAGACTAGGAGCCGCTTTGGAGTATTTTCATTAGGAAATCTTGAGTCTTAAGAGTTTGGAAGGTCATTTTTCTGATGAAGAAGAGAGGATATCACCTATCAGGAAGATGTGGATTCTAAAGACAAAGTGATGCCATTAAAGAAAATTAACATGGTTTTGAAGATTTAGCCCATCAAGAATCCTGAGGTTCCAAACTTGGAAACTCATAGAAGTCCATCACTGCAGGGTCTTAGGGTCATTTTCCCTCTATTGAACACACCACTGTGTTGAGTACGAGCTTCTTGCATTCTCACCACGTCTCCCTGAATGCTCCTTCTTCCCCTTGTCCTTGGGCTGGGTTGTAACATAGTCAGACACCTTCAAGCTGTGGACTGAGTTTTTATAAACCTATTTGCCCACAAGGAGATGAGCGGGGTGGTTCCGGGGAACAATTATTTATCCATTTTAGTTCTTTAATCAACTATAATCTGAACCCCTTCTAAAATTAAGGAGAGGCTTACTAAAGGTCATTGGAAAGCTGACATGCATTACTCCTGCCTCATAATTGGACATCACACCTCGTTTGTGATTCTTTTTGAGCTATAAGGTATCAAGTGTGAGGGTTATCTCTCTTTACTCTTTCTTTCCTCAAATAATCTCTCTCTCTCTCTCTTTCTTTCCTTCCTTTTTTTTTTTTTTTTTTTTTTTTTTTTTTGACACAGAGTCTGTCTGTCGCCCAGGCTGGAGTGCAGTGGCATGATATCGGCTCACTCAACCTCCACCTCCTGGGTTCAAGCAATTGTCCTGTCTCAGTCTCCCGGGTAGCTGGAATTACAGGTGTGCACCACCACACCTGGCTAATTTTTGTATTTTTAATAGAGACCAGGTTTTGCCATGTTGGCCAGGCTGGTGTTGAACTCCTGGCCTCAAGTGATCCACCGTCCTTGGCCTCCCAAAGTGCTGGGATTACAGGCATGAACCACTGCACTAGGCCACAAACAATCTTTTTGCTCATGTTCACAAAACTGGCACCCTACTTCTTTTCTCCTTTTTAAGGACATAGCACCAAATCTTGCTTGAGTGCTCTAATGCCCTGAATTTTGGAAGATGAAGTGCTATCCTTCAAACCACCTCTAAACTGTGACAATTTCCTTACCATGGAGGGTATGTTTGAGGAAGAGAAATATCTAGAGCAGGAGCCATTAAACTATGGCCTGTGGGCCAAATTGGGCCTGCCACCTACCTTTTAAAATAAAGTTTTATTAGAACATAGCCATGTACATTTGTCTATATACTGTCAATGGCTTCTTTGGGGCTAAAACAGCTGAGTTGAATAGTGGCCACAGAAGCTGTATGGCCCACCCAGTCTAAAATATTCACTATTTGGCCCTTTACAGGAAGAATTTGCTGATCTCTGGTCTAGAATACCATATGATAGAAATAGCTCGTGATAGGAAGTTGAAAAATCAGCAGCCAAGACTCAGCTGTATCTCTAATGACCTCTGCAGCTGTGGACGAGTCACTTGACCTCTCTGTTTCTTCATCTGGAAAACAAGAGAGGTGGCCTATATGTTCTCGAAGTTTCTTTCAAAGACTTAAACTTTGTAATCTGTTTTCTCCTGGGCCAGCTCTAAGCCAACACTATAACTCCAAAAGGTTTCTGGCACCATCCTGTCACCTGGTGTCAGGAACACCCCTGATCCCCATTCCACAAGCTCCTTCCATTGGGTTGTGCACTATCAGGAAGGCCCTTCCTCCGTCCTCATCATAATGTACATGTCCTTTCTTCAGGTACTTGCTCTGTGACTGATCAGGCAAATCTAACAAACTAACCCCAGCTGCAGCCACTCAGCTATAGCCGTGCAGGCTTGGCACAACCTCAAGTTATTTCCCGTGTCCAGGAACGTAGGGCAAAGTTCTCATTCTCCATACACTCTCCTTAGAGAAATGAACAAAAACCAGAAGCCCCAAAAATTTAAAAAAACTCTACATCACCTTTCATCGAGAATGAGAGATCTCTCCATGGCAATCCTTTTTAAAATCATCTTGCGCAAGTCTTGGTGGTCCAATTCTACGGTCATCCATGGAACAGCTGACAAGAACCTCCTGTCTGTCTTTGGAGAACCTCTGCTACGTGAGATGAAATACTTGCCGTGTCTGTAACTCACTGTGAGACCAGGCGTGGAGTATTTAACCTCTCTGGGCCTCAGGGCCTCAGGCTGCTCCATGTGCAGAGTGGAAATAACTGTGTCCACCTTGTAGGTTTGTTCCAAGATTACAGCAAAGGATATCAAATCCTTCATAAAAGTATTCTCACTAAAGTGATGTATCTTCAAAAAATGTGTCCTCCTGGGTAGCCGTTACCGCCCCTGCCTGCGTTCCTCCCTGCGGAGGAGACCTGGATGGGCCAGCCTTCCACAGCTTGCCTCTCTGAGGCCCTTAGGTAGTTTAGAAAAGCTGGAAAAGTGTCAGATGGAAGTCTCTAGGAATGCCAGGGAACCAGACTCCAGTGTGCTTCCATTTCAACCCCTGTCACCTCTCTGAAGCCAGAGGGGAGTATGGGGGTGGTCATATTAGGGGATGGCAACCAGGGCTGCCCTTCCTGGGATCACTGAATCAGCCCTTTCTTCTGGATCTCAGAGTTACAGCAGTTCACGGATCCTTGCCTAATTATTTTCTTACTGAAACTGATTTTTGCTTTTGACCTCCCAAATTAAGTCTAGTAACTCCTCCAGGGGAGGTACCATGTTTTACTCACCTCTGTGCGGTGTATACAGGGCCTGGCACAGGGCTCAGCATATAGTCAGCGGCTACTCAATGATAGGATATTAATCATGATTGATTAATAGATGAATTAATAAATAAAGAAGTTAATTGACTGGATATTTGGGAAGAGAAGCCTTGAATATGTAGCCTCATTCTTCATATAAAACAAGGATGGAAACAGAAGGGGAAGATAAGGGAACTGTAAACAGAGAGGATTCTGGAAAGGAAAAATGGTACCCAGCAAAAGCCGGAACTAGCAGCAGCCTACGGTGGCCCAACCACGAGCAGGCCAATTGTCCAACTCCAGGATGCTCGGCACCAGTCCCCAATCTCCAAGCCGCCAGGCCTCCCCGGGCTCGGTGTCAGAGCCCATGCTGCTGTCGGGAGCAGTCATGCGTGTTACCTCGGCAGCTCAGGCCTCACGGAGCTGTGCCAATTTACCTTCTGCTACAAGGGCCAAGTCACTTCATCCAGCAACTCTGCAGACCCCTGTCCCCTCTCTGACATTTGGGGGATGGCAGCTCCTCGCCTGTAGCAAATAGTTTCAAAGAAAAATGCAAAAGCAATCCCCTTTCTTCTGGCTAAGAGAGTCCCCCAGTGTGTCAGGTTTACTACTGAGGCATCAGTTATGAACAGTTTCTGTCTATGTTTCTGTAGTCCTGTAGGGTTCCCTGCTTTCTCTTAGGGACACCGCACAGGCCCACGCTCAGCCCTGGGCAGCCTGGGCCCACCTCCATAATGCTGAGCGACGGTGCACCTTTCCCCAGGTGCTGCTTGTGCAGTTCCTTGTGCTTTGAGAAACCCTCATGTCATCTGGGGCTGAGCAGAGGACACACAGCCACAGTTCATTCTCACTTGTTTTGGTTCAGCTTTAGATGCTGTTGTTCCTCTCTCTGTTCTGGGCAGTTCAGGACTTAAGGTTGTTAAAGGCTTCTGAGATGTGAGGTCAGTTCCTCTGTGGGTGATGTATTCCCAGCTTTTCAAGGCCCACAGAGGCACACTCTGCCACTGTCCTTGAGTAAGCGAGAGGACCCTCCAGATGCCACGTGGGAACCGTGATCACGGCATCTTCACCTGTTTTTGGAGACAGGTGATTAGTGGTGAAGAACCCTGTGGATTCAACTCATGTCTCTGCAACTTACCAGTTGGGTGTCCTTCAACAAGTTATTATTTTCTCTGTGCCTCAATTTTCTCATCTGAGAAATAGGAGTGAGGATGGTGCCCACTTCGTAGGGTTGCTGTGAGTCAGATGAGTTAACATACAACATGCTAGCGACACTAGTGCTTCATGTTAGCAATTATTACAATCCCCAGGTCGTACAGTCTTGGGGACCCAGCCTTAATCTTCAGTGTTGACTGCTTATGGGAAATACTGGCTCTGCCTCTCGCTAGCTGTGTGATCCTGGAGAGAACACAGCTGCTCTGCATCTCGGTTTTCTTACCAGAAAATGCAACAATACCTATAGCTACAGAGTTGCTATGCAAATCAAATGAAGTCCTACAGATGAAAATGCTCCGTGAAGAGCTTAAAGCCATACAAATGCTAAGTGATGGGGTAATACTGTCTAGAACGGATGACTGAGCTGTTCTTTCTTTAAAAACATCTTTCCTGGGGGAGGGATTCCAGAATTTGCCCTTGCTGCATGCTGCCTGGATGGCGAATAAGTTCTTTATGTTGCTTTAACGGAATTTCTCCCATTTGGTCCTATGAAAGCACAAGCAAAAATTAGTCCTCACCAGCTCACAAGACAAGGAAGTGGAAAAGGCCAGGCCAGAGGGCATGTGGGCCGATGCAAGTCCAGGTTTCCAAGTTAAGTACCCACATCCCTGGTGCAAGCTGCTGAATATCTTCTTGATGAGATCTCCTCATCATTAAAGTGAGAACAGTAAGCATATCCTTGCTCATTCATTTGTTCATCACCTGCTTATCACAGCCTCTTCTGCCGTCAGCGCTGTACAGGGCACAGAGTGTGGACAGATCTGACAAGATGCTCACCAAGAAAGGTGACAGGGTCTGCTCCAGAGGAAACCCTGCAGGTCCTTTGAATGCTAGTCACATCATCTGCTTTAGAAGTCTCTCTGCTGCTTTTTCATAAAGCACCCACAAATTAAATTGCTCAGATAGCACATTTATGGACATCATAAACCCACCACTACAGACAGGCCCAAGCAACATACAAGCACCAAAAGTTACCCAGGACTTTGCAAATGCCATTTCTAACTTTTGTTTTCATTCTTGCATTTTACTTTATCGGTGCCTGCTCATTGGTTAAATCTCAAACTGATGAGCTCTGAACCCAGCAAGAAATCTCTGATTTCAGTGCTCTCTCCAAGCCCCTGTACACCTCCCCACAAAGAACAAACCACTCAGCTGGGTGCGGCGGCTCACTCCTGCAATCCCAGCACTTTGGGAGGCTGAGGTGGGCAGATCACAACGTCAGGAGTTCGAAACCAGCCTGGTCAATATGGTGAAACCCCATCTCTACTAAAAATACAAAAATTAGCCAGGCATGGTGGCGGGCGCCTGTAGTCCCAGCTACTCAGGAGGCTGAGACAGGAGAATGGCGTGAACCTGGGAGGCGAAGCTTGCAGTGAGCCAAGGTCACGCCACTGCACTCCAGCCTGGTCGACAGAGCCAGGCTCCACCTCAAAACAAAACAAAACAAACAAATAAACAAACAAACACCCTGGTGTGCTTTTTCAGTCCTGCAGAATGTGCAGAAAGTGGCCTGTTCTTGTTCACCTCCATGGAAGCAGTGTGCCTGCGTCTTCAGTCGAAGGGAAAGACAGTGATTGGCATGGGCTGTCTGGCCCCAGTGTCTTTTTTTTTTTGAGACAAAGTCTTGCTCTGTCACCCAGACTGGAGTGCAATGGTGTGATCTCGGCTCACTGCAACCTCTGCCACCCGGGTTCAAGCAATTCTCTTGTCTCAGCCTCCCGAGTAGCTGGGACTACAGGCGCCCGCCACCATACCTGGCTAATTTTTGTATTTTTAGTAGAGACTGTGTTTCACCATGTTGACCAGGCTAGTCTTGAACTCCTTACCTCAGATGATCCACCCGCTTTGGCCTCTCAAAGTGCTGGGATTTACAGGCGTGAGCCCCCGCGCCCCAAGTGTCTTTTCTAATCAGCAAACCCGGGGGGAGTGAGATCCCTCTGGAAATCCTACCATCCCCACTCCCTGGCTTCCCATAACCAGAGGCTGAAGCAGATGGACAGCACGGGCTGTGGTTAGTGCTTCGCCTTCTGCCCCCCCGCCGCCTCCCCACCCACTCACGGTGCCCTGAAAGTGAGTCTGAAAAACACCCAGGCTCAACACTTAGCAGAGTGAGGAGGCCTTCCTGGCTGGACATGCTGTGCCTGGAGGTCAAGCCCTCAAAGGTGCTTGTTTCACTGGCCAGCAGCAAGCACCACTCCTGGCCGTTTTACTGGGTGGCAGGTGTGTGGGGGCCAGTCATTCACCAATCGCACAGAGTGCTAGATGCTTCCGTAGACGATAAACTGTGGAGAGAAAACAGAATATACAGAACTTGGTTGGAAAAAACGAGCAGCAGGGGAAAAATAACTAAAGCAAAAAAGGAGTGGAGAGGGTAGCCTTTCCAAAAGTAAATAAAAAGTAGTAAAATCAATCTTGACTGTGATGAGAGGAAACGCCTTCATTTGGACACTGCTATCAACACTGCAGTATCAGGGTTTGGGTTCTGTTTTTTGAAGAACAAGTGATAGTATGTAATAAGGGACTGTGAAAGTTTATATTTTTTGACCTGGTAATTGAACCTCTAAGACCATAACCCAGAGAAGTAATGCAAAAAAAAAAAAAAAAAAAAAAAGGGACAGGCCTTAACTAAAAATGAAATAAATGAAATAAAATATATATAAAATTTCATCTTGGGGTGAAATTATAGCTATATGTATATAAATATTCAGCCCAAATACTCAGAGGACTTTGGGGCAGTGGAGGTACTGTGTATGACACTATAAAAGTGGATACGTGTGATTACAAATGTGTCCAAACTTATTGAATCTACAGCATCAAGACTGAACCCTAATGTAAACTATGGATTCTGGGTGGTGATGTATCAATGTCAGTTCATCGATTGCAACAAATGTACCATTCTGGTCTGGAATGTAGCCATCTTGGGCTGAAATTATAGATATAGATGCAGAAACATAGAAATTCGGCCTTAATATATCCAGGAATAGTGGAATGACCAAGCCAAGATCTCAGTACAGTGACCTATTCTATGGCCACTTAAGAGGTAAGAATGGTGTTTATGCGAATACATGGAGGTGTATTATGGATCCGATAAGATGCTCACTGAGGAAGGTGACAGGGTCTATACATATACATATGAGTGTGTGTGTGTGTGTGTGTGTGTATACACCTCCATATATTAGCATAAACATCATTCTTATCTCTTATCTCTGTATATTTATATATACACATACACACATATATACACATATATATACGCACATACATATATTCACATACACTTACGTATATATAAATCATATTATGTGGACGAAGCAGAATGCAATATAGTGTGCACACATTGATGTAAAAATGTGTAAGTGTGCAATTTCAAGGCTTGGAGAGAAATCTGGAATGAAGTAAATAATTAAAATCTTGACGTTCCATTTTTTTCCGTCAAATACTTAAGGGCACAATAAAAAAATTGAATTTAAAAAGAGGAGTGAGAATGTGGCACAGTCCAGGAGAACTTGGAGGGTCCAGAAAGCGATTCAGAGAAACAAAACTAAAACTCCAATGCGCCTGGAGCCGGAATGGGAATCGCTAATCTCACAGTCTCCTCCTGCCCTGCCCCACCCTCCTGGCCTCCACCCCACTCACTGTCAGCCCGCCGAGGCTGCCTCCTCTTCTTTTTAAAGGTTTTGCATTTCTAATTTCTGCCTTTTTTCCTCTCAGGTTAGGAAGAGCGAATGCCAGGAGAAAAGGCCCTTTCTAAGTTCTTCCCTGCCTGCCTTTCCCAGGTCCCCTCCACACAGGGCAGTCGCCCATGACGAGGGCTCCAGAGCTTTCCAAGTGCTCTGAGTCCACGTTTTGTGGCCCGAGCTCTTTCAGGGCGAGTGTGTGAAGGGAGAGAAGGCACACTCCACAGCCCCAGAGTCCAGATTTGCCACTGGCAGCAGGTCTTAGGACCCCAGATCCAACAATGGGCTCCCCTGGTCCAGCCGCAAAACATTTATAACTTCTCCAAGCAGTCCTCTGGCAGAGAAAGCACACCGTGAGCTCAGGAAGCTAATGACCTTGAAACTATCCATTTATCTTGGCCTTTCCCCCTCCGTGTGAAATGCCACAAAAAGTGCCAGTCCCTCTCCTTCTCTCCGAAGAAGGATGAGGAGAGCCAGAAAGCCATGCTTCTCCCTTGCTTTTCCTCCTGGGCCAGGCCCAGAGTTGGAATACCAATGGGAACCAGCGGGGAGAGGAAATCATTCTTGATCATCCAGGCTGCCTCGCTGAATCCTCCACGAAGGGGAGAGGGCTCACCTGACTTCGGCTTCAAAGCTTAATGTTTGTCAGCTTCTCCATAAATCTTCATAAGTAGACAATGCTGATTCCTAACAAACCTCCTGCTTACAGCCAGAGACTGGCGACAACTCTCCCAACTCGAGCTGCGTTGGCAGCCAGTGGTGGCCAACACAGCTCCCAGCTACCTCCGCCCTCCCACCAAGGGGAGGAGGACGGCGGCCACCCTGAGGAATTTGAGCTTCTGAAATCAATCGCTCTTCTCAGTGGCCCAGCATCTGCTTCGGTGACTGCCCTCACCCTGGCACAGGGACATCGGCTTCCCGCTGGGCCTCGCTGAAGCCAAGAGCTGGCACAGTAAGACTCCCCTTTGTTTATGGCGTGGGCCACTTGGGTGTGAGATGTTTCCTCTCCTCTTTCCTGCAACACTCAATTGTATTTGGGTTAAACAACAAATTCATGGTCTGTGGCTGGGTTGAGAAGGCAACTGTCTCAAGCCTGGAATACAAACAAACAAACAAGACCAAAATCAACAAAGAAAAATCAAGTTGCTGTATGTTTGAAAAAAGCAAAGCTGGTTTTAGGATAAGGAAACTCATCTTCCCGAATTCCTGCATCCTTCATTTTATGAGACCATTTTCTTGACAACGTTTCTTTGTCTTTTACTCCCATCAAATCCACATTTCTCTCCTTTAGGGGAACCCTACCAGGACATGTATGTTCTTCCCATATCAGAACCCACCAAGGTTCCTGTATCTTTTGGCTTTTTGAACCTCCTTTCCAATGCCTCCCAGAAAGGACATTTGGGCAAAACATCTTGAGGAGGGAAGACAAGAACTAGGGACTGATATCATGGTCTGCCATTCGAATTGCTGATGTGTGGCTCTCTTTCTCTCTCCAGAGTGGTTTTTTATTGTTGTGGTGGTGGTTGCTATTTCCCAAGTCTGGCTTTAAGGATAAAAATATATTATTTTCAGGTAAATCAAGAATAGTTGCATTTAACGTTCCCAGGCTGCCTTGGATACATGAAAAGGTAGGTTCATTTGTTTGCTACTGTATTAATGTGTGAAATGGTTCAATTAATCCTTCCGTATGATGTCTGAATAGGTTATTAGAAGGTGCTTAGAGATTTGGCAGGCTAAGCCCCATCTTTCTTTCAAGATGCTAAGAAAATGAATGTAAATGCAGAAAACACTGTATGTGGGGCATCTGCTGTCCAACTTTATAATTTGAATGTCAGGGTAATATTTAGGAAAAGTTAACCACAAGAACAAGGACACGAGATTCTCGCTGGATTGATTCTTCTGCTGAACCCCCATTTAGTCACGTTTGATCCTAAGGGACTTAAGACTTGATCACCTTCCAGTTTCCCAACCTTTTGTCTTAGTTAAGGCCCTTTTGTCTTCTGTCTAACAAAAAGCAACTTGACCTAGTTTGAACCAAGAACGGAATTTATTAAAAAGTTACTAAGGTATCTCACAGAACCCAAAGGCAGTGGGGTATCTCCAGGAGCACAGAACGGGAACTGGAAGGATACTGGGAGTCTGGGCTGTGCTCTTGCTCTGTTTTCTCTTTGTGTTTCCTGTTTATTATTTATTTATTTATTTACTCTTCTCTGAAGGTCGGTTTTCTCTGCTGATGCTTTCATATGGGGGAAGATGGTAAACCCAGCTCCTAAGTTTTAAAATGTCCCTGAATTCCATCCCACGTGGAGAAAATGGCCGCCTCCCACTTAGAATTTCACCTTGGCAGTCGTACATTTAACATACCTGAGCTCTTTCTCGTTGCCTCATTTGCACCATTTGTCTCTTTGCCTTGTTCCTTTCTCAATGTACCCTGTTCTTGTTATATGAATTTGTTCTCACCTCTCACTCTCACTTAGGGTACTAATTAGATATTTGTGCTTTTTATTTATTTGCTTTTCAATTTTCTCTTGTGTTCCCTTAATTATCTTCTTTGTTTCAGGGTCAGTTTATTGTGTTTCATTCTGTTTTGCTTTGTTTTCTTGCTATTCATTTTATTCTGAGGTCTGGTTCGCTTTGTTTTTCCATTCATAATTCAGCATAGGAGAGCAGCTTGGCTTGTTTCTAGATAACTAGGAGGGTTTTCCTTGTTGTTTTACGTGTATGTCAGTTTTCCTGCTGGATATGGTTCAGATCTGTGTCCCTGCTCAAATCTCATGCCAAATTGTAATTCCCAGTGTTGGAGGTGGGTCCTTGTGGGAGGTGATTGGATCACGGGGGCAGTTTCTTATGGTTTGACACCATCCCCTTGGTGCTGTGGTCATGATACTGAGTTCTCATGAGATCTGGTTGTTTAAAAGTGCATGGCACCTCCCTGACCTCTCTTCCTCCTTCTCCAACCATGTGAAGTGCCAGCTTCCCCTTCACCCTCCACCATGATTGTAAGTTTCCTGAGGCCTCCCTAGAAGCTTAGCAGATGCCAGCTTTATGCTTCTTGTACAGCCTGTGAACCATGAGCCAATTAAACCTCTTTTCTTCATAAATTACCCAGTCTCAGGTATTTCTTCACCTGAGGACAGATTACCTGTTAGGACAGACTAATACACTGCTCTTTCATAAAAATAATGTTTGACTGGGAAATTTGTAGATGTGAGCAGGGCTCAACAAATGGCAGATTTCACTTCAGAATAAACAAAGGAGGAGTTTCCAGGTGGGATACCAGATTTGGGGCTGGGAGGGCCCCACATGCGAGAATGAAGAGGTCTTTATTCTGAGACACTGACATCTGCCCTAGCAGTCCTAGTTCTCTTTAAGCTGGATCCTCTTTTGTTTTGCTTGTAGGTAAAGAACAGGGCTGCCTTCCTAGGAATAGTGGAGAGGACAGGAGAGGGACGCATGGAGGAACAATGGATGCAGTCATTTAGAAAGTAGAATTTTGTACCTACCAACCACCAACCGAGCTTGGAGACTTTCCAGGGATTCTGTTGGGCAAGTTGGCCTTTCTGTTGAAGTAGCCTCTTGGGCTGTCTGGGCTGATTATTCCCCACACTGTTTTGTTTGTCAGTAGGTTCCCAAAAATGTGTTGAAATATCTTGCTTGATAATGATTGTCTTCTGTATTTGTGGATTTATTCCTTTATACTCTATTGGAGTCTCGGAAGAGGAGAAACAATTACTTGCTCTCTTCTGACATCTCGAACAGGAAATTACTGAATCCCAATTTCACATTCCAAAAGAGAGGGAATCTGATTGGCCCACTTCAGATGACGGGTTCACCCCCGTGTAAAAAACTGGTGATGGGAGGGCGTCATGGTTGCTAAAGGCAACCGTGTCATGGGAGCAATTCTCAGGGAGGGGGTCACAGTGAGCTAGAGAGACCACCCGAAAGCAGCCACTAACTACACCATGAGTTTCAAGGGTTTGGAGACCACCCGAAAGCAGCCGCTAACTACACCATGAGTTTCAAGGGTTTGGAGACCACCCAAAAGCAGCCACTAACTACACCATGAGTTTCAAGGGTTTGGAGACCACCCGAAAGCAGCCACTAACTACACCATGAGTTTCAAGGGTTTGGAGACCACCCGAAAGCAGCCACTAACTACACCATGAGTTTCAAGGGTTTGGATATTTCTGTTACGTTTGTGACCTGTCTCTTTTTTCCCTGCTTCATTCTGACAGAGCCCAATTCCATGTAACACTCTCACTGTATCCTAAAGCAGAAAGAGGTCCAGTAGTGAGCTGGTAAATGTTTAACAGCAGGCTCACGGGGGGTGGGGGGGGGGGGCGGGGGGGGCGGGGCATTGAAATTACTGATTTGCAGCATTTGCTGATTTACGTGGTGTAAATAATCCCACTGTGGTGGGTTTCCAGCTACATGCATGGCATCATTGAACTTGGATTTTAGAAGAGATGCACAAAATTGACTAGACAGTGTGTAAGCCACCACCAGCACACCACTGACTATTATACATCCTAGCTAAAGTACCATTAACCCACAAAATTGGTTGAATTTATTAAGATTCTTTGGCTACAAAGAACAAAACCCAAATATAGGTAGATTAAGCAAAAAGAGAAATTTATTAGTAAGAGCCTGGGACATATCATGGAATCCAGGGAAGAACCGGATGACCATGACTTGGGAAGCACCGATGGCTGCTTTTGGTGACCTCAAAAGCATCATTGTCTGGACCTTGTCTTTAGAGTTTCACCATTTATGTGACTTGAATCCTGTTCCCAGTCTCCGACTAGCGAAATTCCTGAGAGAGAATCTGATTGCTCTCAAGTTAGGTGTCCTCGCCTGGTGAAATCCAGCTCTAACCTGAGGTCAGTGACATTTAGCAAAAGCATGACTTCCAGAGGCAAGATCTGCTTCATCATTGGTAAGGTTTGATGCAAAACGAAAACGTGGGGCTCCTTGTTTAAAAGCTATTAAGTACTTTGGAGTGACACAACACAGCATTAAACCAAGTGCAGAGGGCCCTTATGAGCACAGGGCCCTGTGTGACTGCCCAGGTCACGTGGCGATGAACCTGGCCCTGGCTGAGGACTCATGCCTGTGGTCAAATTGTGACTTCTGTCTTGGGTTCTCTCTTATAAGGCAACCCATGGAGAGACCATATGGCAAGGGACTGAGGCTTGCCAACCACCACATGAGTGAGTTTGGAAGCAGATAACCCCCTTTTCCCTACCTTTACCCGATCCTGACCAGCTTTCAGATGACACTGATGGTAGCCCCAACGTCATGGGAGACCTGGATTCAGAGGCACCCAGCTACTCCATGCCTGGTTCCTGACACACAGAAACTGTGAGATAATAAATGTTTGTTTGTTTTTTTTTAAGTTTTTTAGACTAATTTGTTACCTGCAATGAATAACTTCTATAGCGTTATTCATTACTTCTGACTTATTGAAATGTGTTGTAATTTACACATAAGCAGTTGAGTCAGTTTATGGATTATATCACCTAGATTTAACGAAATTCACCCTCACAAAAAAAATGGACTAGCAGTTTAAAAATATTCCTGCAAAGAAACTGAAAGTTGAAGTTAAGGCTGATAATGCAAACAAAATGAACCCCGAGAAAATGCCTCTTTGTCAAATACATCTTAAGGAAAAAATACAGTGATGACTAATTAGATCTTTCAAGGTGGTGACCAAAAAAGTCAATATTTCTGAAATACAGGTGTATATCCACTTGAAATGTTAGCTAATAATGGTAGTACATGTACAAAATTTATTCACAAATATTCATCCATTTGTACATGTTAAATATTTCACTGATGAGTTGATGATTAAAAAGGTTTCGTGACTACTAAGTCCCTGCTTGGACCAGGGCAGGTGGAGAGCACCCGGTCCTCTGTTCTGGGGCCAGCTGGTTGCAGCTGCATCACTGCAAGGGAAGGCAGTGGTCAGGTGGCCCAGATGCACCCTGGAGTTAACAGTTTGGAGTGAGAGGACATTTAAAATAATCCAGAGACTGGAAAGCAATTCATGGTGATGAGGAGTAGACTCCCCACAGTCGCACATGATGGGGACTCATTATCCTCATTAGGATGTTAAAAAGAAGAGTGATTCCAGAAGATTGGAAATCCTTGGGAGTACTCAAATTATACATGCAATGGTTTTTCTTTTAATCGTATTGGAGAAAATGTAACATCCATTCAGAAAAATTAAAAAGTGCACATGTACAATGTATAGTTTAATAGATAGTAATAAAGTGAACCTATTGTACCTACCACCCAGGTCAAGAAGTAGAAGATTGCCAGCAGGAGAAGCTCACCAGGTACCCTTTTCTAATCACATCTTTCTCCCTCTCCCATAGAAGAAACTACTGTTCTGAATTTTATGATAATCCTTCTCTGGCTTTACTTTATAGTTTTCCCACTGTGACATGTCATTGTAAACAATATGGTTTGGTTTTACTTGTTTTAAAATTTTATATAAATGGAAATCATGTTGCATATATTATTTTGTCTTATGTCTTCTGTTCAACACAGTTTGAGAGTCATTCGCTTTGCAAATAGCTGCTTCTATTTGTATTAACAGTTGATCTTCCTTTGTAAGAATATCCAATTTATTTGTCCATTCATTGTTGGTTCAGATTTGAGTTACTATAAGCAATTCTGCCTTAAACATCCTGGTACATATATCCTCATACACATATATGAGTTTCTCTAGGGTGTACGTAGTAGTAGAGAACTGAGTTTTAAGTGGAATAAATCTTCAACTGTAGTGGATAACGTCAAGTTGTTTTTCTAAAGCAGTTAAACTAATTTACACCATCCCCTCCACAACACTGACTGAGACTTCCCATTATTACACATCTTTGCCAATAGATTTTGGCAAATAATACTGTCAGATTTAAATTCTTGCCAATCTGATGAGTGTTATCTCTTTGTGGTATCTCCTTCTATTATCTCTTTGTGTTATCTCTAATGTTATCTCTTTGTGGTTTTAATTTGCATTTGCTCATTACTAATAAAGTGTTTTACACATATTTACTGGCCATTTGGATTTCTTCTTTGCTAACTTGCTGGGTTTTGCACATTTTTCTATTGGATTGAGTGTTTCCCATTGGCTTGGATTAGTTCTTTACCTATTCTCAATGTATTGCAACATTTTTAACATACAACGTTTGTATCTTATCCCACCTTGCAGTTTGAGCTTTTATTATTCTTATTGTATCTTTTAATGAACACAAGTTTTTAATTTTAATGTAGTCAAATTCATGCATCTTTCATTTTTGAATCTTGAGAGATTGCATATATTTCTCATATGATAATATTTCATATTATCATCTAAAAACTTATAGCATTTTTCCTTTCACACATAGAACTTTCATCTACCTGGATTTCATCATTGAAAAGACATTCTTTTCTCCTCTCCCCACTGACTTGCCATGGACCTCTATCATATATCAAGTGTCCTTACATGTCCTGTCCTACCTTTTCTGTCTCCTATATTCTGCTCCATTGGCCTTTTGTCTATCTCTGGGCTAATACCCTGCTATACTACAACTTTAAAAATATCTTGGTGTCTGGTAGATCAAATCCTCCTACTTCAATGTTTTTCTTCAAAAGAGTCTGAGATATTGTTTGTATTTACATAAAAATGTTATAATCAACTTGTCAAATGCTACAAAAAGTTGCTGAGATTTTCATTAGGATTAGGATACATGAGATATACAAATCTGCAAATCAATTTGGGAAAATAAGGATCTTTCCAATATTGGGTCTTCCCAATCCATGAATATAGTATTGCTCAATTTATTTAGGCTTTCTTCAATATTTCTCAATGCAGTTTAAAATTTTTTTCCATAGAAGACTTACATATCTTTAAAAATATTTATATTAGTTGCTTCCTATTTTTATATACTTTATTGTTAATTTTTGGGAACACAACTGAGTTTTCTATACTGCTATTATATCCAGCTACCTGAATAAAACCCCTTATTAATTATTTTGGATTTCTTATGAACACAATCTTACCTTTATTTTTCTTTTCCTTGCCTTGGTGCACTATCTAGGGCCTCCACTATCATGTTCACCATTATAATTTTTATGCATGTACCGTACGCCTTTGCTATACTGTAAGCTCAATGAGGAATGGACTTCTGCACAAAAGTGGTGTTCAATAAGCATTTGTTGAATATATAATTGAATGAATGAGCTACTCCATCACACAGATGGGTAATCATACCAAAAACTATGAGTTGTCACAGACGCAGGGGACAAGCTGGAAAATTAGGTTAGAAATAAATATCAGAGCCGATAGGACAGAATACACTCCTGGAGACCAGGATGAAGTTGCAGACTCCATAGACCAGTCAAACAGACAGACCTATGCTGGGTACAGAAAGAGGGAAAATAATATATTTTCTTATGCCTTAGGCACAGTGTTAGGCACTTTTAAATTCATAATTCTCCTCCCCAGATTCCGTGTGTGTGTGTGTGTGTGTGTGTGTGTGTGTGTGTGTGTCTGGCTCCCGCTCACCTGTCCAGCCCTGATCTTAAGACACTCTCACCTGCCTTGCTCTTTTCCAGTCTGGCTTCTTTTCAGTTTCTAGAAAACTCCGAGCTTCCTCTCCTATTCGTGCTTTGCATATCTGTTTCTTCTGCCTGGAAGCTTTTTCTACCATCCCTCCTCCTGGCTGGCCCCTCCTACTTGTCCGCCAGGTCTCTGCTCAAATGTCACTCTGTCAGGGAAGCCTATTCTCACTTTTGTCATATCGCTCAGCTCCCCAGAAAGTATACGATTAGCACGTATACTTTTCCTTAAAAAGCTCTTACTGCAATAGCAATTTAATTTCTGTGTTATTCTTTGATTAATGATAATCTCCCTACTAGATTATAAACTCCAAAAGGGTGCTGACTGTGTCTAGCTTATGTCTGGATTCTCCAGTATCTAGCCAGTGTCTGGCACTTAGAGGGCTGGTAATAGTTGTTCTCTGAACTAAAAATTCTAGACCTTCATGATTGACTTTCCTTTGTGCCACCACCTCCAAGAAGTCTTCCCTGTTTCTCCTAGGCGCTCCCTCCTGCTCCGCATCCCTCTGTCCTTAATTCTATTATGCCACTTAACCCTGTTGAACCCTCCTGACTTCCCTTCTAGACTGTGCTCTCCTAAAGCTCAGTTTACCTTTAGGCTCTCAGCACCTGCACAGGTGTCAGACACATAGAACACACTAACAAATGTTAGCTTGACATATGTTAATCACATGTTGATATATGATTAAAGATAAGTGAGGAATAAATAAGAAATGAATTTTGTGTATGTGTGTATATACAAGTATTTGAGAGTTTCTTTTTTTTTTGAGATGGAGTCTCACTCTGTCACCCAGGCTGGAGTACAGTGGCGCCATCTCAGCTCACTGCAAGCTCCGCCTCCGGGGTTCATGTCACTCTCCTGCCTCAGCCTCCCAAGTAGCTGGGACTACAGGCGCCCACCACCACGCCTGGCTAATTTTTTGTATTTTTAGTAGAAACAGGGTTTCACCATGTTAGCCAGGATGGTCTCATTCTCCTGACCTCATGATCTGCCAGCCCAGGCCTCCCAAAGTGCTGGGATTACAGGCATGAGCCACCGCGCCAGGCCGAGAGTTTCTTACCATGAGGCAGTCTTTTAAATGAAACTAACTAATGGCATGTTCTCTATGATAATTCAGTAATTAATCTCCCCTTGAGAGGATCTAAGGTAGAAACATCTTACACTGAATTACAGTCAGTAGTGTAACAGAGAGGGCCTGGTATATATGTGTGGATGTGTATGTAATATATCATATATATTTTTTCTTTCTAAAAAAACTTACAAAAATAAAGAAAATGTCAAAGCCTTTTAAAGGGCGCGATCACGCTGAGTAATACAACCCTTCCTTGATTTTTACATTATTTCAGTATGAGATGTTTTTATGGCTCTTGCTAAAAATAAAAGACATTTCAGAGTTTCTCAGTAAATGAAGCACTGCAGACTTTTCAGTTTTGTTGTTTCCCCTAAATTAATATAATTAATTAAAATCCAATGCTAGTCTGATTTACAATCTGTGAGTCAATGAGTCACAGAATCTTATGCTAATAGGGCAGTTCAGCTTTCTGAGCTCTCAGTAATAAACTTCATCCCAGGAAAGGGCCAAGAAGAACAAGGGAGACAGGGAGACCCAGAGAGAAAGACTCTTTTCACCTGGCCATAATATATTTATATTGTGCTTGGAATAGAAGAGTCTGAAAATAATTTGGAAAGACAACTGCTTTTATCAAGTGTAAGAAATTAGTTTAACCGAATTTAAATGCAATTATAGGAGCAGCTGGTGAAGGCTAATTTCTGTTCAGTCTGCTTTCTCAGGAACCGCACCCCCATTCTGTTCCCTGGGAAAGGATCAAGTTCCAAGCTTTACATCACTAATGCCAACCCTTATAGGCTGGTCTTGGCCTGGGGTCAGTGCTCAGAGCCACACGCATTAGCCCTCTCCTAGTGTTTACTTCATTTGCTCCTCCCGCTTCCTTTGAAGGAGAGTCCAGGTGTGAGCATGATGCGGACAAATACTGTTGAAAGGCCCCAGTCCCTCTAGGGTCCGTTCTCATGGGCATCATTGCCTCCATTGCATCCAGGGTTCTTCTGGTTCATGACAGTGGATTCCTATGTGATGAGGAAAACTGTTGACTTCAAGAACTGGCGAGTTCTTAAATGTCATCTGCCTGGGCCAAACCACTCACTTTATGGTTGAGAATGAAACCCTTGAGAGGGAGGTATTTCGCCTGCCAGTCCAGCGTTTCTTCCATCACACAACATAACCCCGCCTCTAAAGTGTCAGGCCGGTTGCCTCCAGATGGGGTTAAAAATCATTCCCCTCCCATGTGGGTCAATGTTCATGCCTGTAAGGCCACCTTGAATGTGACAAACTGTAGACACAAGTGTTCAGGCCTTTTTACTTGATGCTGTCCTTCTTAAAATATCAATCCTTCTAGAATGTGTGAGACTTCTTATTTATTCCCCAGTAAAGATGAACTTAGAGAGTTATTTATAGGAGAATGATACTGGAAAGCTGGGAAGGCTTTTAGGAGGTAGGGCAAGGAAGAAAGATGAATAAGCTGGAGGAATCCCAAGGTAAACTCACTTTAGAGCTTGGCTTGGCCGGTCCTACTCCTGAACCCTTATCAAGTGATCCCCAAGGCACTGGGGGTGCCTGTGAAGTTGTCATAGCCTCCTGGGGATCCTCTGCTCCAGCTCTGAACTGGTGGCTCAGGCTAGCCCTGGGATTTCTTTCCTCATGTGCAATCTTCCTGGAACCTCAGCTATCAGAAACACCAAGCAAGACTTCTTATCCCTCAGAAAATCCCCAGATGAGACATCCAGCCTCAGGCCCGGGAGTGCCCAAACAGGTTGTAGTGTTCTTTGCTGCTTGAATGTGGGCCTCCCACCAGCAGCCTGAAATTGCCTGGCATTGGCTGAAAATGCAAATCCCTGCCTGCCCGGGCCCTACTGACTTGCGTCTGAGCTTCTAAGCTCCCTGAGTGGTGGAAGTGGCCGTTAGTGCTTGAGAAGCACGGTCCCAGTCCATCTTTGGCCTCCAGGCAATTCCACACTGAACCTACAGGAATCTTGAGTCCCACACAACCTTTCTGGAAACTCTCACTGATTGTCATTAGGTAACTCGCTGTCAGGACTGGGTGACGGTGGTCTGGGAGAAGGTGCAGGGTAGACAGGCATTCCTGTTTTGCTATTCCTTCCTCCACCTCTAGGCCAGTGAAAACCCTTTGGCCTATCCCAAGTGCCTTCTTGCCAGCTGGACTTCCCCTGCCCATCTCCTACCTGCCCTCCAAGCCAGGGAGGATAGGATGAGACAGCACAGAGTTTGACTTCCCAGGACCCAAGAACCACCTTATTCCAGATTTCCTCTAAGCCCTGAAATTCAAAGAGGGAAAGCAGATGAATATGAGCATGAATGGCAGATTGGTGAGGAAGAGAAATCACAACAGAACAGACTGTGAAAGGGGAGTCAGAGGGGAAGAGGTGGGAGGGGAGGAGCACGAAGGAGAAGACAGGGCATGCTGAATGGGGGAAATGCGAACATCCAGAGGGTATAGCACCTTCCTCTCTCTCTCCTGAGACCATAGTTGCCTCCTTGAGGCTCTTCTCCTGCCCTCTCAATATACCAGGTAGTGCTGCCAGGTCCACTGCCAGACAGCTTCAGGGGGCAGCTGGCGTGACCCAGAGCCAGGTTCTGAGAGCCACCAGCAGCTGCCCAGCAGACAGCACTCTCCAAGACATCCCCTGGCTGACCCCCGCCTTCACCTCACCCCACCTGACCTCTGTGTTCACCCTTTTTCCGTTTTGAGGTGAGGTCTTTCTGCCCATTCTCTCCCACGTGCCTGGGCACCTCCCCGGGTTCAGAACCTGTGGCCACTTTCCTAGCAGCACACACATATGAGGATGCTCGGGTGTGTGCACGTGGGACATGCCCCACTGCTGCCCTGCCACGGGCACTCGCTTTTGCACCCCGGCCCAGCTCGGAAGACTCCTTATGCTCCTGCAGCTGTCTCATCTCCAGAGTCTTAGCTCCTTCCTGCCCCTTCTAATTCTCCTTAGCCCCAAGCAGGATAACCCCCAGGGGGACCTCAGATTGTCCCCGCTTTGTCCCCCCAGCATGATTCCTGGACTGATGAACGTCTTATAACGGTTCTTCACCTTAGGCCCCCAAGTCAGCATTAATCCTCCAAATGCCTGAAGATGTGTTTGTGAAAAACAATAACTGATCTCACAGGACTAAGGATCAAGACTCTTCCCCTAAGCCACAGTTCCCAATCTCATTCTTGAAGGTCTGTTGCCTCAACTTGGAGTTCAGCTCAGCTGAATTTTAGAAAAAAAAAAAATCCCTTTATGGAAACTGGACCTTTCTTTAACGCTGCCGTGATTTGCATATCGAGGGGGTTTCTCAGATTATTGGCAGGGATGGAAAGGGAGGAGGCCCAAAAACATATGCAAAGGTTAATAAATGTTAAAATCTTTGGGGGGAAAGTCCCATCAGAAACATCTAACACAGGCCGGGCACGGTGGCTCATGCCTGTAATCCCAGCACTTTGGGAGGCCAGGGCAGGTGGATCGCCTGAGGTCAGGAGTTCGAGACTAGCCTGGCCAACATGGTGAAACCCCGTCTCTACTAAAATTACAAAAATTAGCTGGGCCTGGTGGCGGGCGCCTGCAATCCCAGCTACTCAGGAGGCTGAGGCAGGAGAATTGCTTGAACCCGGGAGGCGGAGGTTGCAGTGAGCCGAGACCACGCCACTGCACTCCAGCCTGGGCAACACAGCAAGACTCTGTCTCAAACAAAAACAAAAACAAACACAAAAGAAACACATTAACTACATAACCAGGAGATCCTCTTCCAGTTCTATGATTCTGATGCTATTTATAGCACCTGCCAGTCACTGAGAAGTAACATGGCTGTTGAGGAGTGGTTAAAAAAAAAAAGGAGGTGGGCTGTGGGCCTTTGATCTTGAAGGACTTTTTAACTATATGGCAGAGCTCACCTGGTTCAAGCCACCAAGCCCTATTCCCAGGCTAGAGTAACTAGCCAGCCTCTGTTGAATGCTTCTGTTATTTTAAGACCTTAACCCCCAACCTATTCTTTTCTAGGCTACTATTTTTATAGAAAATTGTCCTTCTTTGTAAAGCCATTTTGTTCAACCTCTGCTAAATCTATTGCTGTTAACATTCTTTAAATAAGCAGCACACAAGAAAACAGACAGGTGAGGGAAAGGGGACAGAGCTGGGCCTGGGGTAAGGATGGAGTTAGAGTCTGCAGAACAACACGGAGACCCTCAGGGTCAGGTGAAAGGTTCAGCAGGAAAACAAACTTCAAGTTCAGCCCTCAAAGGCCTGAAGGCAGCCAAGCTTCTGCACAGGACTGGACAGGAGAGCCCTTTAGGACCAAACAAGAAAAAGTTTTCTTTTCTGGGGATCAACTTGCAGCTCAGCTCATGTGAAGGCTGTTCACCGAGGTGTCTCAGCCAGGTGGTGGATTTCTCCTGTTGTCCTGTAACTTGGCTTGAAGCGGAAGATGACCCGTGTCACCTGGCGCCCTGATAACAGAGATTAAATTCCAGCAAAAAGTGCCCATGCCTAGGTTGGCCATTACCATGCCCAGCAGGCTGCTCCCTGCCATCTGGCCACCTTAGAGAGATCACAGCCGCTCTGCTCCTCGCCCACCTGGCTTCAGCTGCCTCCCAACCACAGTGACAGGGACAGCGTGGCCAACACTGGGCACAAACTGGGCTCTGATTTACCTGCTTTCCTGCTCCGGGGATTCTGGGACCAGGTCCCCCAGTGCTGTTGTGCCCCAGTTTTCCACAGAATTAATGTCCCTGTCCCTTGGGGTAAGCAATCTTTTAACATTATTTACAAATATTGAAACATTCACGGCTCAAGTGCATTTGTGGCATTCAGAGCACTAACATTTGCTGGAGGACCTCCGTAGAGATTTCCTAAAGTATTAAGTACAGAAAATAAGTACTAGATACAGGGCATGTCAGGGGAAAGTGTGCACACCCTGTAGACATTTAGATGGTCTCGTGTTACTATTACAAAGAGGAGATCCAGAAAAATATCAGCCAGAAGCCCTGGGCAGCAAACAATCTGACATAATATTGCTATGTTTCTTAAAAGGGGATTTTAAATATGGCCGGGTAATAGCTTGTGATATTTCTACAAATCTGAGCACTTCATCTATTGGTCTGTTTACACATTGGCTTATTTCACTAGTGAATTATAAGAATATACATACTAAAATGCAAAAATATATAGAGATACATGCAAAAGCAGAGACAGCACATTTAGAACAGCAGGAAAAATCTGTCATCAGATACGTGGATCCCAGGGTTGGTTACTCAGAGAAATACAGTTGAGTCACAAAGAACACGGATGCTTAAACTGGTTGAGGCTGGATGGTCTCTGAACGCGGTCCTCACCAGTGTTGGCGGCATTAATCAATGCCCGCGTGAGCATGGCACTGGCTTTGCATGGAGTAAGCTGCGCTCTTGCCTTCCAGAAGCTCAAGAGGTTTGGGGTAAAGAAAGGGGATTTCTCCTTTGGGCTCTGGTGCAAACAGGCACTGACATAAATGATTTTGGGGAAAAAAAGGCTGAGGTCAGCAGGCGGTTTGTCTGAGGTCAGAGGCTGGATACAGGTGGGATCCCAATGGCCAGTGACATCTGTGCCACGGTCTCCTCCACTGCCTACGCTCATAGCCTGTGGCCATTTGTCCCGTCCACAGCCCACTTGTCGCTACTCAGGTTGGACTGCACAGGCCGTCCCTGAGGACCTGCCCAGGCCTACACAGAGCAGCCTGCAACAAACCTCTCCTTTCCTAAGTAGCTCCTTTCCCCCTCGCCCTCGTCCCTAAAATGTTCAGCATTGGTAGCACATACAGAGGTTAAAGCAGATCCTATTTTAAAGCTTAATAACAACTTGCTAAGTATCTGCATGAATTTGTCCATCTGATGAATTGATTTGAAAACTGGCCCCGAGAGACAAGTTCAGTGGCTGATGAGAAGGAGAAGCACCCTGAAGCAAGGACCAAATCCTCCCACAGTGAGGCTTTTGGATCTCCAGAAGCCATCCCAGGACCCCTGGAACCTTGGGAAAGGGAATTATGAAAACCAGAATAGGGAAGAAGGGAAGGGAAGGTTTTCTTTCTTCCTAATTGAGCTAACACTGATGTGTTGATGACTAAGACCCCTAGATAAATTTTTGTCATGCCTTAAGCAAAGTTAATACTGTTCTGTTTTGTATTCATGCACTTAATTTGCTTTTCCCGAGTAAAAATATTAGGTTGGTGCAAAAGTAATTCCGGTTTTTGCCATTAATTTCGATGGCAAACGTTGCAATTACTTTAGCATCAGCCTAATAGCTTAGATTTGGTTTTGGCAACGATGGAAAGAAATAAATTGCATTTCGGCACCCAGCTTCACCCTGGATTTCCTTTTGTGAATCCCCACTCTTAAGCACCCAAAGGTCTTATATTGTCCGTTGAATATTCAATGTCTTCCTATAATAGACTTTAAAAGGGTTGTTATTTTTCCCTATCTCAATAGCAATCAATTAAAATAGCTAAATGTGACTTCCAATCTGCCTTTACAAACATAATACAGAGAATAAAATTTCTATACTTTTCTAGCTGATATTTAGTTATTTTAGACACTCAATTTAATACTAGAATTTCATTAGTCAGAATTTTTCTTTGTGAGTCAAAATCCTGATGTAAAGTTCTACCCCAGCTCTGTCCCAAAGTTGGGAACTTCAAGGCTTCTTGGCATCAAGTTCTAGTTGGGAGTTTTCATCCCTCCTTGGGTCCCGCTCCAGCAGACCCAGGGCTGAGGGGTACACAGGCTTTGTTACCAGACACAGCTGGGCTTGAATTCTGGCACAAGCAGTTACTGTCTCTGAACTTTGATTTTCTCATTTGCAAAAAGATGTTCGTAACACCTACTTCACAGGCATTTTATATGTATTAAGTAAAATAACAAACATGAAAAGTTCAGCAGGGTGCCTGGCAGTCAGTAATTGAGATGGTCGTCACCATCACCAATTTCACATTCTCTTCATTTTCCCAATCATCACTATTCTTAAAATTCATCCAAGATCAGGCCATGTTTTTCCTTTAAGTTTCTCATCACCCGGGGAAGGATGGCCCTGTAGGAAGGTGATGAGATGTGAGTTACATCCCGGCTGCCAGTCCTGCTTCTGCCACCTTGGGCAGTTTGCTTGGCTGCTGCAAGCCCCATTGCTTGGTCTATAAAGCGGGGCAACAGCTATCTCCACATGCAGCAGCCGAGAGGGCCCATATGGCCATGTGTACCATGTGTCTAGGTTTACTAAAGATCGGTTTCTCAGGCCGGGTGCGATGGTTCATGCCTGTAATCCCAGCACTTTGGGAGGCCGAGGTGGGCGGATCATGAGGTCAGGAGTTCGAGACCAACCTGGCCAACATAGTGAAACCCCGTTTCTACTAAAAATACAAAAATTAGCCAGATGTGGTGGCATGAGCCTGTAGTCCCAGCTACTCAGGAGGCTGAGGCAGGAGAATCACTTGAACCTGGGAGGCAGAGGTTGCAGTGAGCTGAGATCTTGCCACTGCACTCCAGCTTGGGTGATAGAGTGAGACTCTATCTCAAAAAAAAAAAAAAAAAAAAAAGATTGGTTTCTCTACCCTTCCTCATTTCTTCTTTCCCTGTGATAAAATAATAGAAGCAAAAACATCCAAATGAGATGCCACACATCCACCTAAAAACCGTGCAATGGCAAAGGCAAAATATTTAGTCTCATTTCATCAGACTCTATTCTCTTTGGGCTTTGCTAGTTCACAATAGGTATTAATCACTTAATCATACGCGCTAATTTATACTCATCTGTTAATCAGTTAATGACTCTTCCCTGAGCATTTACATAATGTCCTTTGCCAGAAAAAAACGCACAGTCTCCCGGAGGCTCCTAGGAAGTGCCTCTTAGATGAGCCTGCTGTATCCGGTGACAGAGACCACCTTGCGGTGAATTTCAGCCCCTACAGCAGCCTGCCCTGCCTGTGCCTGGGAAAGGGTCGGCTTGGCTGGAGATCCCCGTTTGTTCACACATGCCTGCCTAGTTGCCTGCCCTTTCTTGTCTGGGCTTCTTCCCGTGCCCAGATGCACAGCACAATATACTCCCTTGCTACAGTTAATGCAAAGCTAGACTTGTGTGCTATTCACAGGCTGGGGTGGGATGAGGAGATAGCAAACAGGTGGAAGGCTTTATCCTCCAAACCTGGATACTCCTGCCTATGACAAAGGCAAGGCAGGACAGTGTGACATTGGGACAACTGGCATAAATCGGCATGGACAATTACTCCAGCAAGGAGGAGCATGTATAATGTAAAGTCTATATTCCTTGTAGAACGACTCTGAGAATCAAGTTTAATGACTGGTTGCTGTTGCACATTGTGACGAAGACATTCATGGAAATGCCTCCTTGGGACTCAGAGTGCCCATTGGCACACTGTTATTGATTGTACAGCCATGTCACTATCTGCACAGTGTTGCACTGTTTCAATGCTATGGACATGTCGCTATCTGTTGAATAGCAACACGGCTTTGGTCAGTCACTGGGGAAGGTGTAGAAACCCTTTCTATGATGGAGACTGGCTCAGTCCATTATCCCATAAGCTCAGTTTCTAGAAAACTGTTCTGGAAATAAGTCACATCATGTTTTGAAGGAGGAGAGGCAGATGGAATCTAAAAGAAGGCAGGTCAAAGACTGACAGAGGCCAGGGAATGATTGCCAAGAAATGTGCCTGAACCTCTCAGATGTTAAGTGATTCTGCTGATATTAAAACAGAAACTGCACATGAGTGCTGGGGCTTGGATATTTGGCTACAACAAACATTTGGGAAAAGCATCAGCCACAGCAGCCATGGAAGGAAAGTATTGCGTGTCTGTGCGGAATGATGGTGAGGTGAGGTAACTCAGCAAATGCTGTAAGATGGGTTTGGATTGGGAAGGCCAAAGACTTCTACAGCCAGGTCAGATCCTGAAGGGTTAATTCAGGGTTTCACATTGTCCTTAAATTTGGTGCTGCTGCTACTGCTGCTCTTTTGGAGGCCACAGAGAAGGTAGACAAGGGTCTGGTGTGGCCTCCAGTAGTCTCCAGCACACTGGCTTGGAATGCAGGCTTTGGGTTCCAAGTATGGACGTCTCCATAACTAACCATCTGGTCAGTGTTCATCACGCTAGTGTGGGATGCAGACAGAGAACATACTTAGAGGCAGAATCGATAATCTGGCAAAGAGAAAGAAGTTCACAGCTTTACAAATGAGCTCCTTAGCATTAATTAATTTATTCATTAATTCAACAATAATTTAGTAAGGGTGTATTATGTGACAAGCAATGAGAAAAGCTTGGTTGGAAGATGGAGGTTATAAAGATATATAAAGCTATACTCCTTCCCATCTGTTTATGAAATCTATACTGGGTAAGCCGTGCAGACATCTAATTAGAATACAACGTTAATAAATACTATTTTTGTAGGTGTGTACAGAGCATTACAGAACTGTCGAGGAATATGCAGTTGTCTGAGGAATTCCATTACGGCTTCACAGAGGAAACAGCATTAAGGCTAAGTCTTTTTTGTTTGCTTTTTGTTTTAATTTAGTGAGAGCAAGTTTATTAAGAAAGTACAAGAATAGAGAATGGCTACTCCATAGGCAGAGCAGCCAAGGCTAAGTCTTGAAGGGTGACGGGGAATTTTTAAAAGAATAGGAAAAGAAGAATGTGACAGTCTTTAGAATCAGACAGACCTACATCCTAGCGCTAGGTCTACCTAATTGTATAATCTTGTGTTCACTATTTAGCCTTGGCGGGGGGAGGGGCTCTGTTTCTCCATCTGGAAAATGGAAATAATAATGCCTACCTTGCAGAATTGTTACAAGAATTAGATATAACCTATATTCAATGTTTGGCAAAGGAAAGGGCACAAAATCAGTGATGATTTTATTAAATTTACCAGCTGGGGCTATGAGGAAGGGCATGCAAGATAGAAGACACACTGTGTGTAAAACAGAGACTTGTGGAAAGAAATGGTGCATGTAGGCAACAGAAAGTAGACTGTAGACATTGAGAGGAGTAAATAATAGGAGATGAGGCTGGACAGATGGACTGGGGTCAGTTACAATGAGTCAGCACCATCTTTGGTGAAGACAGGCCAGTATCTTTCAGCTTTACCCAAAATTGCCATGCCCAAGGGCCCTTTGCCAGTCTGCTTTCACAGGTGGTTTCAGCTCACTCTTCTTCCTTCTTCCTCCTCTCCACCCACTCCACCCCTCTCCATCCATCAAACTCCGAGAGTCACCACACCATCTTCAGGAAGCTCCTATCTTCAGCTCAGCCATATGACACCCCTCCTGATTGTTTAGCAGCCACGTCTATTTAGAGATCCATTGAAAGTCATTTCTATCATTTCTCCTGCAGGTGCATTTTGTGCTAAGAATACCCAACAACAAAAATCCAAGCACACAAAGAAACGTCAGAGAGATCTTGACACACCAAGGATCCTCTAGTCTTTAACTTCAGTCTCTTAGGAATTAATTGAAATGATGACAGCACCAACCTCACAGGATTAAATGAGATAGTTATGTGAAGCACAGAATAAGCATTCAAACATATTAGACGCTGTTTGTACCATTATGATAATTAGCTTCATAAAATAATTTTACTCAATACTTCTGAGTGCTTACTAGGTGCAAGGTATCAAAGAATTCCTTCATAGACACATAATTTACCTAGACTTTTCAGGCAGATAAACTCTGCATAGAAGAAAGCACAAACATATGGGAGCAATGCAATTTAATCAGCACCTAATTAGCCAAACTATTTAAAATAGACCTCACTATTTTGATGATGAAAACATTCTCACTTCTAAATGCCGGAAGCTGTGTCTTCCCGTAATTCTCTCCCTTGGAAAACTGTGAGCAGAGGGACTCTTGGCTCATTGCTGAAGCTTCCTCTCCATTACATTTAGACCTCATCGGTTCTAGTCATTTCCTTTCTTTGTCATTAGATGAGGCGAGGGCCACTTCTGCCATCTCTCCTCAATCCACCATGTTTCCCTGGTGGTGACTGCTCTGTGTGTGGATGGGTGTGCCTGAGGTCATAATTATAAAAGCTAATATTCATCATGAAGACTTACTCCATGGCAGAGACTGTTTAAGCATTTCATGTTCAATCTTCTTAACAACCCTATGAAATTCATACCACCAGTATCTCCATTTACTGGAAGAAACAAAAGTTCTCAGCGGTTAAGTAACCTGCCGAATGTTCCCAGCTGGTAGGGAATACAGCCAAGACCCACATGCAGGCAGTCTGCTTCTAGCTTCCCTAAGAGTTAGCAAATCCAAGAGTGGAAACCTTGGAGATATAATAGAGTCAGTTGCTGTGAATTAAGCCAATTCTTACATTTTGTCTCCCAGTTAACCCAAAGCTTCTCTTACAGAGTCTAAAACAACCCTACTTTCAGATAGCCCAACAGTAAAATTATGGACCCCTAAGCTAAATGTTCAGTAATAGATTTCTCTAGGCCAGGCATGGTGGCTCATGCCTTTAATCCCAGCACTTTGGGAGGCCAAGGCAGGAGAATCACTTAAGGTGAGGACTTCAGACCAGCCTTGGCAACATAGCAAGACCCTATCTCTAAAAAAAAAAAGAAAGAAAGAAAAGTTCTCTCTAAACAGATAACTGACAAAAATCTGTTATGACAAAAAGGCTAGAGAAACTTAAAACTGGAAGTAAAAGAGACTTTGAAGTCTTTGAAGGTGAATCAAAAAGGAAAAATGCTGTAAACACAGGGAGAGTTTGCCAACTGAGACCAAAGTGCAGGAAGGTCAGCTGGAAAGCTGTACAGAGGAGTCAGGCGTTCAACAAACAATTGGATTAGATGATTTCTAAGGACCTTCCTAAACCCTCAGAAGCCATTATTCAGGGGGTAATTCCATATATATTACTTTAAGTTCTAGGGTACATGTGCACAACGTGCAGGTTTGTTACATATGTATACGTGTGCCATGTTGGTGTGCTGCACCCATTAACTCGTCATAAAACACTTGGACACAGGAAGGGGAACATCACACACCGGGGCCTGTTGTGGGGTGAGGGGAGTGGGGAGGGATGGCATTAGGAGATATACCTAGCGTAATTCCATTTTTTAAACTCCCAGCCTCAATGCTTTCAGTTTCATGAACTAAGTCGCAGCAGGTCAACACAGTGTTGTGCTTCCACCTGCCTCCTGAGCATTTCCACATCCAAACTCCACTGTGCCTCAGTCTCTCTGCACCCAAATCCCAACACGCTGGCTCCACCGCCCCCTGTTTCCGTGTGCCTTCTCTCAGTTCATGGTCTCACCAGCCCCAGTCACCCGGACTTGATGCTCAGCATCCTCCTCCATTCCTCTCACCTCCTCAGACTTCACATCCAACTGGTCAACTAGTGCCTTCAATGAGTGTATCAACATCAAAGATGTCTTCCCTCTTTTCCTATCCCACTGCTGCCTGAATGGTGTAAGTAGCTCATACTACCATATTTACTGTGGACGAAAGAGACAAAGATGAGAGTCATAGTCTTTCCCCTCAAATAACTCACAGCCTGGTAAAGGAGGTGGGCACATAAACACATAACTCAAGATATTGTGGGAAGAGGCAGAATGGAAGTAAAGCAAATTTACAGTAGATCAAGATGTTCAAGGCACCTCATAACCCCTCACCTAGACCCAAAAGGCTCTTAGTCCACATGCCTTCCCTACTGTACCTCTGTCCAATCCATTCCTCACACGGCCAACATAATAATCTTCCTCTTTGTATGCCACTTAGTGCTCAGGAGCTTTAGGAAGCTTACACTTGTCGGTGGGGAGGTCAGCGCTAAGAGCAGATTTCTGAGTTATGGTATATATCACTTGTGGTTGAAATAATGGGAGCTTATGAGCTTGTTCAGAGAAAGCATCCGGAGTGAGAAGAGAAAACATGAGGATGAAACCCTGGGAAACAATGGCATTGTAAGACTGAGAGAAGAGTCAGTAAGAGCCTCTAAAAGAATATTCACAAGCTGGGATGGAAACCAGACAGGAGAAAGAATCCAGGGATCATAGTGTAACAAGAAGTCGAAAACAATCGGTAGCATCGAATGCTGCTAAGATTTAAGCAAGAGGAGAACTGAAGACAGGCTCCTGACTGCCTATTGATTAGTGAATGTTTAGCATTTCAGTTGATTGGAAGGATTAGAAATCAGGCTTCAAGCCAGGCATGGTGGCACATGCATGTTGTCCCAGCTACTTGGGAGGCTGAGGCGGGAGGATCGCTTGTGCCTAGGAGTTGGAGCCTAGCCAGGGCAACATAGTGAGAACTCCGTCTCCAAAAAATAATCTCTAAAAAGTAAAAACTAATTTTTGAAAATTAAAAAAAGGTTTTTAAAAGAAATCAGGCTTCGTCGGTTTGAGATTTGAGCGTGAGGTACAGGAAGGCAGCAAGAAACATAATTTCCTCTTTTAAGAAGGTTGGGAATGAAAGGGATATATTTAAAGCACTCTGTCTTGTATTAAATTTATTTGAGCCCTTAGTGATTTGAGCCCTTGGCGTTTGTTTTTGCTTTTTTTTAATTTTAACTTTTTTTTTTTTAGAGACAGGGTCTCACTCTGTCACCCAGACTAGGGTGCAGTGACACAATCATAGCTCACTGTAACACCCAACTCCTGGGCTCAAGAGATCCTCCAGCCTCAGCCTCCCAAGAAGCTAGGACTACAAGTACACACCACCATGCTAGACTAATTTTTTTATTTGGCTATGTTCCCCGGACTGGTCTCGAATTCCTGGCCTCAAGCAATGCTCCTGCCTTGGACTGCCAAAATGCTGGGATACAGGCAGGAGCCACCACACCTCACCTAGTGTTGGTTTTAAATGCTGAGGGCAGAGACTTCCTCTTTCTCTTTATATCCTTACCCCCACCCCCACCCCGTGGTGACCAGCAGTGTTCAATACATGTGTGTTTATTTACTTGTGGGTGCTTGGAAACAATTTCTTCCGTCAATGATTTTAAACATTGTTCATCGGGGCTTTTTTTTTTTTTTTTTTTGTCCTGTTAATCTGTATTCTCTAAGAAGAAACAGGTAACTAAATAGACAAAGATAAACGTTCATAGATTCACATCTGAGCTATCACAAATTCTGAACTTATAATAGCCCAAATTAAGATTTATTTTTGTAATTTTGACAGTCCACAAACCCATAACATAAATCAATAAGAGAACAGGATTTGCATCACAACTCACAGCATCATAAAACAGCTTATAAACAACTTTGATGGGAATCCCTATTACATAAAGAAATGTTCCCCCGGCCTGCCTTCTCGGGCCAGATATTGGAATGAACTTTATGTTTGATTGTACTTCCCAGAACCTGACATTCTCTTTAGGATCAGGGTTATGATTCTTTCCAACACTAGACCCCAAGCCGCCGCATTGGCTCTGAACACAAAACCATTTCCAACGTGTAACGCAAAGGAGATTTCGTGTGCACTGTTTGCACAGACGAAACGCTCATTTCCTATGAAAATATCACAGGTTCCCATCCTAGCCACTCTTCTCCAGCAGCCCTCCCTTAGGTGAGCCCCAGGATATTCTGGAAGTCTCTTTATTCGTAAGGCTGGCATCACCGCCTGTGTCTGCGAAGTGTTCACCAAATCCAAGCGGGTGGAGAAGCACCGATTCTCTGTAGCAGGCCTGAACCTTGCCAGATCCTTTCAACATCCCCTGAGCCTTTCCAAAATGGAGGGCTCGCCCGGCCTGCTCGGAGCCAGCGTCGGTCAAGCCCGGTCTGCTCTGCTGAGACTTGGCACACCACGCCTGGGGCGCTGCGGCTCCCGGCCCAGCCCACCGTGCCAGCCCCTCCGCAGCGGCCTCCAACACCCGGACTCTGCGCACACAGGCCCTGGGTACTGGCGGGCCTGGGTCTCCCTGGGGCCCTGGAGGCAGAAAGCAAGCACTCATTGAAACACAGGATCAGCTGCTCCCATTACTCAGGGACAGAGCGGAAGCTAAGGAACTTGACAGCGGATATGGGAGCCAAGTGGGAATTCCACCCATGGCGCCCTCTACCTTCTGCAGGCTTCAGTGCAGGTCAGGAAGCACCTCTGCGCATCCACAGGGTTCAGTGTTACCTAAACCCAGAGCGTCCCATTGGCGGGAAAGTCATCTTGCGTGTCTCTTTTATGTTCTAAATGCTGCCCTGTTGTTCTGAAACATGAGTTAACCACTCACCAGAAAAACACCTCAACACACACGCTTGCAAGCACTAAGGTTCCTAATCAAGCCAAATTCCTTCCTTAGCCAGTCTTGGGAAAAGAAGTGTTAAAGAGAGACACCATCCACACCTAGCCTCTCTAGGGGGTGCTGAAGTTTTTTACTGACATATAAAAAAGGTAATTACTTGAATTCATTGGAACTTAAAGTGGCTTGCTCCGGCTCCGTCTCCGCCAAAGAGGCACTTAGTCATTTCTTCTCTTGTCCATCATAACAGGCACTGCGTCCAAGATATTGCCCAACTCAAATCCTGTAATTCCCTCTAAGTCTATCATAACCTTCCAAAATAAGCTTGTTAGTTTAAAATAGCCTTGTAAATAGCACTCACCAACTCACACAAAGCAAATAATGATTTATACCTGAAAAAAAGGAAAACCGTCAGCATTTGGCTCATCCTACAGGAAAAAAAATGATGTATTTGTGGGCCACTGTTTTAGCAATATTTACTTGAAAACCTAACTTTTCATTTTTTTATTGCAAGAATGAAACATGACTATTAGGGAAATTTTAGAAAATACAGCTAAGAAATAAAATAAAATAAATAAACTATAATCCCATGCTGGAGATGCAGCTTATGCTAACATTTTGATTTGTACTCTTCCAGGTCATTCTTTCTCAAATTCATCCTCAAAATGGGATTGTAGTGCTCACCATCCTTTTTTGAGAGGCCGTTTTAGAGAGTGAAATCTGTGTCAAGAAATAACTGAGCACGCTGGGCAGTTTTAGCCACTGAAACCCAACCAGCCTCGTGGAGTGTCAGGTCATACTCATTGGGTTCAAATCATAATAGCTTCATTGGGTGTTCGGCCACATTTTAATTCCATGTCATGGTTCTGGGCAATGGGAGGGAGCAGGGGATGGGGGAGCCAAGAGGACTTACTGTAAGTCAACATGTTTGTTGATCCTGGAACAGTAGCTGAGCCAGAGGACAGGGACGCCTTGCAGGGCAGACAGACAAAGAGTGGGGAGATGGTGCCACCACACAGAAGGGTAGGCTCTATTCTCAGGCGGACAGACCCTGGGGAGTCTCTCCATCTGCGGAGAGGACAGTGGTCAATGCCTCATGCTCTGCAAGGCTTTGGGTCTGTCAGAAGAGGACCCTCCCCCAGCAGGAGACTTGTTTATTTGGCATTTAACCAAAAGCATTAGGGCTCCTTTCAGAAATATTTGGTCAGGGGCCAATTATTTTAGCATATACTGCAGAGAAAGGAGGTCAATTTAAAGAAAGTTTAGATAAAACAACAGCAGACACAACAAAGCAGCCCTTTAAGGGGCAAAGATGTGGGTGCAGTGTTTCTAGGGAAGGGACACTGACCCCATTCCCTTGAATATGGACAAAGAAGCTCATCAAAGAAGCTCACCAAACCCAGTCATTCATAAGCATGAAAGAGGCCCTCATGCTTCTGCACCCTGGCCAGGAACCAAAGACTCCATCAGCTTTGACACAATCAGTCCTATTAATATGGAGAGGCCTTAGGATTGGAACAAATTCTTCTGGGCAGTCAACTTGCCTTAAACGATCTGCCAAAGCCCATCCCAGTGTTGTTCGTACACAGCTGAAAAATATCAAGACTTTAAGAGGGGAAAAGGAGGAGGGAAATGGAGCCCACATTTCCTGAGCTCTTGCGAACTATGGAGCATTCCACATTACCTCGTGTTGCCTTCCCGGTAGTCTCAGTATTATTGTTCCCATTTCACAAATGAGAAAGCTGAGGTTCTGATGGTTTAAGGGACTTGCCCAAGGTCCCCCAACAATGTGTCAGAGTTAGCACTCAAAGCCCTGTGCGTGGGTTCTGCAAGTCATCTTTGGAACCTCTAAGCTATTCTGCTCCCAATCTCCTTTTTAGCGTTCTTTGTTTACCATTGATCCTTTCCCCCTTTTCATCAGAAGAATAATCCGTTTCTATGGGGCATTATAATGAATGGGGAATCTTGATTTTTCATAGACTTCCTTCAGGAAAGAACCAGAAGTTGAGATGAGGGTGACCCTCACATAGATGGAAACTTTTGTATTCCTCTGTTTTAGCTTAATTAACAAAGAAGCACATTGCACATTTAACATTTAATATTTATTAAATGTCATTATTATTTGTCATTTAATAGTTATCTAATACTTAGCCAGTCCTCCAGAGACACAAATGGAGTGTCAAGAACAAAAAAGCAGGAAAGAGAAAGTGAAGACAGTGGATAAGACATTCAAAGTTTGAGGGAGGGCCATGCTTGGTGGCTCACTCCTGTAATCCCAGCACTTTGGGAGGCCGAGGTGGGCAGGTCACTTGAGGCCAGGAGTTCAAGACCAGCCTGGCCAACGTGGTGAAACCCCGTCTCTACTAAAAATACAAAAATTAGCCGAGCATGGTGGTGGGCACCTGTAGTCCCAGCCACTCGAGAGGCTGAGGCAGGAAAATTGCTTGAACCTGGGAGGTGGAGGTTGCAGTGAGCTGAGATCGTGCCACTGCACTCCAGCCTGGGTGACAGAGTGAGACCCTGTCTCAAAAAAGAAAAAAAATATATAAAACCCAAAGAACAAGAAAAAAGTTTGAGGGAGAAGATAAAGTTTGTCATCCTGCGCATTCTTAAATACTGTTCTTCCTATGCCCGAAGCATTACCCAATAATGCAGTTCCCTTCGAGTGAAAAAGCAATGCTTCCCTGGGCAGGGGGTTGGCCACAGAGCACACTGCATGGGAGACCCCTGCCCACAGGACACAGATTCCAACTGTGGTTTTCCAGGGGTGGGACCGATGGCCCTGAGCCATCTGTGCTCTCCCGGCAGGACCCCACTAGGTTTCACCGTGACAGCTGAGCCGGGCTAAGATTGCAGCCTTCGGCACTCTGGAAAAAAACAGCTGCTGAGGTTCCTTTGCTTTGCTGGCCTGGTCTCCACTGGCCA